>NC_000010.11:49991580-50143095 GCF_000001405.40 Homo sapiens | reverse complement strand
CTTTATTGAAATATAATTCACATGCCATAAAAGTCACTCATTTAAAGCCTAAAATTCACTGGTTTTTATTATGTACACAGAGTTGTGCAACAGTCACCACATTTGCTCCAGAAAATTTTCATTACCTCTAAAAGGAACCCCATACCCTGTAACCAACACTCTCAAATTCCCCCAGTCCCCCACTCAACCCTAGGCAACCACTAATCCATTTTCTATCTCCAAATTGGTCTTTTCTGGACATTTCACATAAATAGAATCATATGTGATTTTTTTGTGACTGGCTTCTTTCACTTAGCATAATGTTTTCAAAGTTCATCATGTTCTAGGATATATCAGTACTTCATTCCTTTTTATTGCTGAATAATAGTCCCTTGTAGCAATATATCTCATGTTGTTTATCCATCCATCAGTTGATGAGCATTTGAGTCATTTCCAATTTTGGGCTGTTACATATAATGCTAAGATGAACATTCAACTGCAAGTTTTTGTGTAAACATATGTTTTCCTTTCTCTTTGAAGTAGCTTTGCTAGGTTATGTGGTAACTCTTATGTTTAGCAAATTGTGGCACTACCAAACTTTTCTAAATGGTATGGATCATTTTATAGTCCCATCAACAATGAATGAGGTTGCCAATTTCTCCACACCCTTGCCAATACTTCTTTCTGTCTTTTTGATTAAAGCTATCCTAGTGGGTGTGAAGTAGTATCTCATTGTGATTGTGATTTCCATTTCTTTAAAAACTAATGGTATGGAGCATCATTTTAATGTGATTATTGGCCATTTGCATACATTCTTTGGAGAAATGCCTATTCACATATTTTGTCTATTTTTAATTGGATTTTTTATTGAGTTGTATGAGTTTTTTTATTACATATTCTAGATAGAAACACTAACGGATATATAAATGGCAAATATTTTCTCTCAGTTTGCGGGTTGTCTTTTAACTTTCTTGATGGCATCTTTTGAGACACAAAAGTTTTTAATTTTGGTAAAGTCTAATTTGGCTATTTTTCTTTTGTCGTACTTCAAAAGCTTGGCCTATCCCAAGTAGTAAAGATTGACATATATTTTTCTAAGAATTGTATAGTTTTAGCTCTTATATTTAGGTGTATTGTCCAATTTCAATTTAGTTTTGTGTATGGTGAGAGTTAGGGTCTAACTTTATTCTTTTGCATGTGGATAAACAGTTGTTCCAGTATCATTTGTCAGAAAAATCATTCTTTCCCAATTGAATTGTCTTGGATCCTGGTTAAAAATCCATTTTTTGTAAATGTGAAGGTTTATTTCCAGACTCTTTATGCTAGTGATCTACCTATGCCAGTACCACCCTATCTTAATTACTGCAGCTTTGTAGTAAGTTCCGAAATTAGGAAGTGTGAGTCCTCCAGTTTGTTCTTCTCTTTTTAGATTGTTGGCTATTCTGAACTCCTTGAATTGCCATATGAATTTTAAGTATGCCAATTTTTCAAAAATGTTAGCTGGGATTTTGACAGGGATTGTATTAAGTCTGTAGATTTGGAGAGTATTGCAATCTTAATACTAAGACTTCTAATCCATAAATACGTACTATTTTTCAGTTTATATCTAATTTACCTCCACAATGTTTCACAATTTTTAGAGTACAAGTTTTGTTCTCTTTTGTTAAATTTATTCCTAAGTATTTTATTCCTTTAAATGCTATTATAAATGGAATCACTGTCTTAATTTCAGATTGCTCATTGCTAGTGTATAGAAACACAACTGATTTTAATATATTGATCTTGTACACTGCCACTGTGCTGAACTATTTAGTTCATTTAGTTATTTAGTTCTTCCCAAAGATCTTCTATATAAAAGCATTATATACAAGATCATGTCATTTACAAATAGAGTTTTACTTCTCCCTTTCTAATCTATATGCCCTTTTATTCCCTCCCCCACTTTTTTTTTTTTGAGAGAGTCTCGCGCCATTGTCCAGGCTGGAGTGCAATGGTGCAATCTTGGCTCATGGTAACCTCCACCTGCTGGGTTTAAGCGATTCTCCTGCCTCAGCCTCCCAAGTGGCTGGGATTACAGGCGTCTGCCACCACGCCAGGCAGATTTTTGTATTTTTAGTAGAGATGGGGTTTCGCCAAGTTGGCCAGGCTGGTCTCGAACTCCTGACCTCAGGTGATCCACCCGCCTTGGCCTCCCAAGTGCTGGGATTACAGGCGTGAGCCACCATGCCCTTCTTATTTCCCTTTCTTGCCTAATTGCCTGGCTCTAGAACCTTCAGTATAAGATTGAATAAAAGTGGTGAGACTGGACATCCTTGTCTTATTCCTGACTGTAGAAGGAAACCATTAGTTGTAATGTTAACCGTGGGGTTTTATAGATAACCATTATCAGGCTGAGGAGCTTCCCTTCTATTCCTATTTCAGTGGGGTTTCTTTTTAATCATGAAGGGGTGTGAATTTTGTCAAATGCTTTCTTCAGTGTCTATTGAAATCATCATGTGATTTTCTTTCCTCTTTTATTCACATATTACATTAATTTTTGTGTGTCAAATCAACCTTGCATTACTGGGATAAATCCCATTTGGACATAGTATGTAACCTTTACATATGTTGATGGATTTGGTCTGGAAGTATTTCCTCAGGATTTCTGTGTCTATAATCATAAGAGATGATCTGTAGTTTTCTTTATGTCTGCCTGGATTTGGTATCAGGGTAATATTGGCCTTATAGGATGAGTTGGGAAGTGTTTCTGACATGGGTAAATTTTTAAATGTATTTCAGGATAGGCAAAGCCTCAGAGTGGGAGAAGGATATCAGTAAGTAAACCTAGGTGAACAGAAAGTGAACACTATGAAAGTGCAAGCGTCAGAGAAATGTGCCATACATAAATTTTTTTACAATTTTTTCTACCAAAGGATATATCACTGAACTCACTACAATATAAGCATGTTTAAAGAAGCAGTTCTTTTTAAAGATTGTGGTTTTGATAGTAATCTCCACTCCATAAGCATGATATTCCAGAGGCATCTGAAATCCAATGTACTCAAAACTTATAATTTTTCCCACAAACCTCCAGCTTTCCTGTAGTCCCCAGCTTGGTAAAGAGATGCCTTTCATGCCATCACTCAAAATGATCTGTCAATAATTTTGGATTTTCTCCCAACCCCATGACACCTAGAAATGACCAATTCTAGACAATATGACTTCTTAATATTGTTTTTTGTTTGTTTGTTTGTTTTTGAAACGCAGTCTCGCTTTGTCACCCAGGCTGGAGTGCAGTGGCATGATCTGGGCTCACTGCAACCTCCACCTCCCAGGTTCAAGCGATTCTCCTGCCTCAGCCTCCTGAGTAACTGGGACTAAAGGCACGCACCACCACGCCTGGCTACTTTTTGTATTTTTAGTACAGATGGGGTTTCACCATATTGGCCAGGCTGGTCTTGAACTCCTGACCTTGTGATCTGCCCGCCTTGGCCTCCCAAAGTGCTGGGGTTACAGGCATGAGCCACTGGGCCCAGCCTCTTAATATTGTTTAAATCTGTCACCCACTCCATCTACAATGATTAGGACTTAATTTAGGGCTTCATTAGCTCTCAACTGAGCAATTTTCATGGCCTAGTTTTGATCCTCTATTCTTGCCGTTCACTCTTTCAACCCATCTGTCCATGATGCTAGTTTTTTTTTCAACTTTGAAAAAAGTTTATGAAAACTAGATTAGAGTATCATATTTTTACATTATTCTGCAATGATGTTTAAGCAAGGGGAAAAGTCACACAAAGCTCTAAAATAATTTTATGTTTGACTTTAGAATGCATTGCAATGAAACCTCAACAATTAAGGAACTAAATGAGGGAAATGAACTAAGTTAGTCTAAACATGAAAACGTTCCTTTTTGAATAGATTTCATTTTTTGAGCAGCAGAACTGAGCAGAAATTACAATGTTCCTATATGCTCCTCACTCCCACAGCCTTCTCCTATCACAACCTGCACCAGAGTGGTACATTTATTACAACTGATGAACCCCACAGTGACACATCATTTTCACACATAAATTGAAGTTTGTAATTTACATTAGGGTTCACTCTTGATGGACTTGAACTAATGCATAATGACGTGTATTCACCATTACAGTACCACACAGAATACATACACTGTGCTACAAATCCTCTGTGCTTTGCCTATTCATTCCTCTCTCCCCTCAGATCCTGGCAAACACTACACTTTTTACCGTCTCCATAGTTTTACCTTTTCCAGAACGTAATTCGGGATTTTATAGTATACGGCCTTTTCAGATTGGCTTCTTTCACTTAGTAACACACACTTAAGATTCTTCCATGTCTTTTCATGGGTTGATATAGCTCATTTCTTTTTGGTGCTGAATAACAGTCCATTGGCTGGGTATAGTAGAGTTTATTTATACATTCATCTACTGAAGGACATCTTGGTTGCTTCCAAGTTTTGGCAATTATGAAAAAAGCTTCCATATACATCTGCACGCAGGTTTTTGTGTGAACATGTTTGCTACTCACTTGGGCAAATTCCAAGGAGCATAATTGCTGGATCATACAGTAAGAATATGTAAGAAGTTGTCAAACAATCTTCCAAAGTACCATTTTGTATTCCCACTGGCAGTGAATGAGAGTTCCTGTTGCTCCCCATCTTCCCCAGCTTTGGTGTTGTCAGTGTTTTGGATTTCAGCCATTGTAACAGTCATGTAATAGTACGTCACTGCTGTTTTAATTTGTATTTCCCTAATGACACATAATGTGGAGCACAGTTATCTTTTGAAAACGTAGAGCTGATCATGTTATTTCTTGCCTCAAGGTCCTATAATGACTTCTCCCTCTCTATAGAATAAAATTCAGACTCCTTAGAAATGCTCCCAAGATTATGCATCTCACATTCTGGCCCCATTTTACCCATCTACAACCTCACCTCATCTTGCAACATCTCTGGTACTTCTATCCTCTAATCATCTGCATCTGCAGCTTCAGAACACTTCAGCTTCTATATTGTTGCTCCTGCTCTGCTCTACTTACTGTCATGTGCACACATGGTTACCTGACAAGCACCTAATCACCTTTCAACATTCAGCTCCAATATCAACTATTCCACAAAGCTTTTATACCTACCCCCTTTACACTACTACCTACATCATATATTGCACCCGTAACAATTTCTTTATTTTATTTTATTTTTATTATTTTTTTGAGACAGAGTCTCACTCTGTCGCCCAGGCTGGAGTGCAGTGGCATGATCTCGACTCACTGCAAGCTCCGCCTCCTGGGTTCACGCCATTCTCCTGCCTCAGCCTCCTGAATAGCTGGGACTACAGGCACCTGCCACCACGCCTGGCTAATTTTTTATATTTTTAATAGAGACAGGGCTTCACTGTGTTAGCCAGGATGGTCTCAATCTCCTGACCTCGTGATCCACCCGCCTCGGCCTCCCAAAGTGCTGGGATTACAGGCATGAACCACCGCACCCAGTCCCTAACAATTTCATTTATTACTAAACTGAAGGGAGCACATCTGATCTCTACCACCTAGCACAGTGTTTTGCACATATTGGTACTCATTAAAGCTTTGTTCAAGGAAAGAACAGATATTTTAGTCTTTCAATTGATCCTCAGAACAAACCTGTGCTATAGGTAAGGTATTCTCCAAGTTTTAGACATTAATAACTATTTGGTTATCCTGTGTTAGCTGTTTGTGTTGCTATAAAGGAATACCTGACACTGGACAATTTATAAACAAAAGAGGTTTATTTTGGCTCATGGTTCTGTAGACTGTACAAGGGTTATAATGCTGTTATCTGCTTCCAGTGAGGGCCTCAGGAAGTTTACAATCATGGTAGGAGGAGAGGAGCCAGCATGTTACATGGTGAGAGAACAAGAGAGAGAGAGAGGAAGGAGGTGTGAGGTTGTTTTTTTGTTTGTTTGTTTGTTTTGAGACAGAGTCTTCCTCTGTCACCCAGGCTGGAATGCAGTGGCACGATCTCAGCTCACTGCAACCTCTGCCTCCTGGGTTCAAGCAATTCTCTTGCCTCAGCCTCCCGAGTAGCTAGGACTACAGATGCGTGCCACCACACCTGGCTAATTTTTGTATTTTTAGTAGAGATGGGGTTTCTAGATGTTGGCCAGGATGTTCTCCATCTCCTGACCTAGTGATCCACCAGCCTCGGCCTCCCGAAGTGCTGAGATTACAGGCGTGAGCCACGGTGCCCGGCCCCCAGGTTCTTTTAAACCAGATCTCATGTGAACTCAGAGTGAGAACTCATTCATTACCACAAGGACAGCACCAAGACATTCATGAGGATCCACCCCCATGATCCAAACACCTCCCAGTAGGCCCACCTCCAACACTGGGGTCACATTTCAACATGAGATTTGAAGGGGACAAAACATCCAAGCCATATCATGCTCCAAAAGTTTGTTTAGAGGGATGTTGGCTTCTCACAGGAATCCCATTCTGATTCACTCCAAATGAAGTCCACCAACGTTTATCCAACTCATAACATACATGCACATACAGGAATCTGCCATAATATGAGTTTTTATTACACTGATAGGAAAGATCATTAATTCGGGAATCTGCATTGCATTGTACAGACTTCTAGTGATCCTAAAGGGAGGGCATTACAGAAAGGAAAGTTGTTTCTTGTAGTGCAGCTCATTTGAGTGTTGTTGCACCATATTTCAAAATGATGGGTATTAAGAGTAATACAAGGTACCAGGATAATAATACTGCTGGCGATAGTGGTAAAGGGTCATTGCTCTTAAATAAAAGCTAAATTAAAAAGCTGCATTGCTTATATATGACTTTGTATGGAGCTTTCTAACCTTAATCCCCTTTCTTTCACTCATTCAAACAACTGCTTTTATAATTTTGGATAACATGAATTCTTAAAAACATACTTATGCTATATCAAATAAGACTGTCCTATAGAGTTGCCAGAGTGTGTATCCCCGAAGCCAACAGTACTCGTACCTACACAGGTGCAGCCCTAGCAACAGAAGTCAGGTGTCAGGACTGCAAAATGCACATGACAGAAATAAAGACATGAGTGACTATGACTGCCAAAGGAATCTGGATTGTTTCCTTCACCACAGTGTTCTTCCATAGTGAGACCCTGAAAATAATAGGCTGGGGGAGGGTAGAAGATAACAAACAGATTTGCAAGTCCTTCACCTATAATGAGAATGGATAATTCAACTATATGCCAGAAGAAAAAGCACAACCCCGTTCAGCATTAATTGTGCTGGAACTTCCACCGTAAGTCTGGGTCCAGTCAATGGGGTAATTTCCAATATCCCAAAAGAACCAAGGTTGATAACCAAGAGCGAAAATGTTTCCCTCTAGAAGATAGTTATGCTTCTCCTCAGGAGTAGAAATCACTGTAGCAGAGGACAAAATGAGGCCATGAAATCTGGTTAAGCCAGACTGGATGCCTAGAGGGTAGCTGAGGAGCAAATGGAAGCTGCAGCAGGAGAACAAAGACCCAGCTGGTAATAAAATCTGGGTCCATGAACAGCTTCTTGAAATGGTGTGTGGTCATGCTTAGCTGAGCATACTGTGGGACTCATGATCTTGGAAAATGAGGAGGCAATGAAGACTTAAAGATGGGATGGAAAATGATGCAAGAACAGCTAAAAAAAAAAAAAAGAAAAAAGAAAAAAGAAAAAGGAAGAAAACAGAAGGGGAAGAGGAAACAAAGAAAACAGAAAGAAGCTGGCCATTGTGGCTCATGCCTGTAATTCCAGCAATTCAGGAGGCCAAGGTGGGAGAATCACTTGAGGTAAGAAGGTTGAGACCAGCCTGGGCAACAGACCCTTGTCTCTACAAAAATTTTTTTTTAAAAATTAGCTGGGCATGATGGCACACACCTGTAGTCCCAGCCATTCAGGAGGCTAAGGTGGGAGGATCACTGGAGCCCTGGAGTTCAAAGGTGCAGCAAGCTATGATTATGCCACTGCACCCCAGCCTAGGCAACACAACCAGACCCTGTCTTAAAAAAAAAAAAAAAAATGGGAGCAGGTAGAGAAAAAAGTATTTCCATAATTTTTTACAATTAAAAAATATATCTAGCTCTTAAGAGTAAAGACACCAAAAAGATTTCTAAATCAATTCCCAAGGCATTTATCTCATCCCTTCTGAAAAAGTTCTAAAAACACAACTCCAAAGATGAAATGGAAGGTAAACAAGGCAATAGCGCTGAATACGTAATTTCAGTAACTCAGAATTTGCTCCATCCTCTGCTCTAAAAAAGCTTTGCTACAGAAGAGCAGTTACCTTTAAAACTTTTTCCCCAACATAAAGATATCCAGAATGTGAAGCTACCATTAGAAATGTTGACATAGGCTGGGCGCAGTGGCTCACGCCTGTAATCCCAGCACCTTGGGAGGCCAAGGCGGGCAGATCACAAGGTCAGGAGATCGAGACCATCCTGGCTAACATGGTGAAAACCTGTCTCTACTAAAAATACAAAAAATTAGCCAGGTGTGCTGGTGGGCGCCTGTAGTCCCAGCTACTCGGGAGGCTGAGGCAGGAGAATGGCATGAACCCAGGAGGCGGTGGTTGCAGTGAGCCGGGATCACGCCACCGCACTCCAGCCCGGGTGACAGAGCGAGACTCCATCTCAAAAAAAAAAAAAAAAATGTTTACATAGATCTTCATTTACTGATATGTGAAAACATCCCTAAAGTTCTAAATACGAGCTACAGAATCACATCAACCGTCTAATATATCTGTAACCTAAACGCTAGTCAGCAGTTGATCTGCAAGCGGGATTAGGAAATATTTCAGAGCCAGCATCTCCTCGCACCATCCAGGTACCTATACACTTGAGGCCACCAAGTCACCTGCGCAGCCCTTGCTCCTCCAAGACCAAGCAGGGCTCCCCAGACCCACAGGCCTGAATCTGGAGGACAGCAGTCTGCCTGACAACAGCGACTCGGAGATCTCAACCTAAGGACAGAAGGAAGATGCATAAAATGAATAGGGGAAAGGAGTGGCCAACTAGCAAGTGCCCTTATCTGTTATCACGTCACTCTCACAGCAGACTTGGGCAAATGGTTGACCTGTGGAAGCTGTACAAAATGTTTGACTCTGGGTATGAGTAATTCCCCTTCCGATCTTACAGTGCCCAAGGAAGAAGTAAGTAGCTCCAGGATCGCTGAGACCAACCTGGGCGGCCTACAAGACTGTGCTGTGGTGACAGGCTGAATAGGTCAGCAGCAAGATGACAGAGCACCAAAAAACACAGATTAGAATGGGGTCAGCCATCCAGGTGGCTAGTGGCTACTGCCTTTGTCGATGCAGATAAAGAACATTTTCATTCCTGCGGAGTTCTATGGGGCAGTGCTGCTCTAGAGGCTGACATTTCCATCTTCAGCACTTCCCCTGGCTATTACCTAGGTTCATTCTGCTGCTTCCACAAGACAAGGATGGAAAAGGATGCCTTAGAGCAATGGTCAGCAAACTGTTTATATAAAGGGGCAGATAGAAAACATCTGAGGCTCTGTGAGCCATCCAGTCTCTGTCATAATCACTCAACTCTTACATTGGAGGTAGGGTGAGAGCAGCAATAGACAGTAAGTAAACAAATGAATGTGGTTGTGTTCCAATAAAATTTTATTAACAAAATATGACAGTGGGGGGGCCACAGTTTGCCAAACTTTGCCTTGGAGGACATGCAGAGGCACCCTCAGAATTCAGTGAAAACCTGCTCCCATATTGCTAAGACTCATGAAGTATAATCTCTCACCTTCTTTCTCTTTCCCCTGCCCAGGCCCTAAGTTAGGGTTCCCATCCATATAACAAAGACTTCTGGTCAGGTGGCATTTGCTATCTCTGGGATTCCCTGCCCATGAAAGCCACAAAGAGATTTCTTCTTTTACACACCCTGAAGCATATTATGGCCCCAGCAAGGCTAACTAAATCAAACTGTGGTTTAAAAACAAAACAAACCAACCACTGTGAAATATTTATTTTTGTTTTGTAGTATTAAGCATGATTAAACCAGTGCAGAAAAATACCAAGTACATTGGGTGAACGATGAGCTAGCTGTTCTAGTATTTGCTTTTTGTAATCCAGTTAAGACCATCAGCATATACAACATCATCACTAACTCAACAATGTAGCTGCAGGGTAACATGTGGATACCCTGTGTGCTCTACTGGCCTCCAAAGGCATTCAGGGGATCATCAAAGATGTTGGACACCTTGTGTTCAAATCTTGGTTCAGGTGCGGCCTGTGCAGATCGGCTTTTTGGTTTGGTTGTCTTAGCCTGGATACCAGAGGAGAAGATGTCATCTTTAGAAAGAAAAAAGAAGAACGGTTGCTGAAGAGGGGTGGAGAAAGGTACTTTTAAGACACATGCAAGCAAACCACCAAAGACCCAGCTCTGGTAACAGCATGGAGTACCCTAAAACACTAACCTAGAACTCAAGCCTCTTAGATTCTGGTTCTGTGTTTGTTACTCATTAAATTTTATGATCACACACAGGTTTCTCTTGGAGCACAATTTCTTCAGCTACAAAAGTGTATGTATGTGCGTGTGTAGGACAGAAAAAAGGGAAGCGTAACTTGATCTCCAAACCAGCCCACGCCCCTACCATCAGGGACAATGGACTTATTTAGATATTCTTTTCATACTGGGTTTTAAAAGAGCAATAAAAATACGCAAAGGGAAATCCAACATAGGACCCACCTGTTTTCTTTCAGAATAAATGCACTGATTTGAGGCATCTCGATGTAAGACTGTAAGCCTCCGTCACTGCATTCTTTTAGTGTTTCACTGACTCAAAAGCTTGTCTTATCTAATTATGGTACTTACCCAGTAATGTTACTGCTAGGGTTTTATCCAACCATGATTTAACATGTATACATAAAGTTAGGTGTACACAAATGGTAAAGACCACAGCATTATTTGTAATAAAGAAAACAGAAACAACTGAGATTGCCGTCAACAGGCTAATGGCTAAATACAAAGAAATCGTGCACACCACTGAAAACAAGGAAGGAGATCTCTATGTACTGACATGAAAAGACATTAAGTAACTAAAAGACAGAGCAGAATAGGTAAATATATTCTTACTTTTTAAAAAGGTGGGTATATATTGATGTGTACACAAACATATATTAATATCACTGTGTCTGAAAGGATACACACCAAACTGTTACTATTACCTCTAGGGGTTATTCACTTCTTACATTTTCTGAATTGCATGAATCTATTACAATAAGCATGTATTACTTTTTTTGTATTTAAAATAATGAATGAGTTCCCTTCTGCACTCCATGTGGCGGGAAGCAGGGGAGACAGAGCACACGGCTTGCTGGAGGCACAGAGCCAGTGTGTGACTCTGCAGCACCAGCTGTCTCCCAGTTAGTCTCAAGGTCTAGATTGATGGGGAGAGTAGGAAATGTGTATGTGGCCTCAGCCCACAGGATTTATCAAAAGTCCAATATTTAGGGTTCTCGGGCATTTGCCTTGTCTACTAATAAAGCAGAAGTTGTGCCATATAAGGAAGACAAGCTTGTTCCCAAACACCAAAGACCTCAGTGAAATGCAACGCCTGAGGTAGAGCCTACACCCAGGTCTAGACTTGCTCTCTTCTCGCACAGAACCATGGACACTCCCTGTCTATCTGGAGCTCTGACTCAACCAACCACATCACACCCAAGGCAGTCCCCTCAGCCTACTTTAGCACGTGAGGTCATTTCTGATCAAACCTCCTTTCATAACACCGGGGTGTGTCACAGATGATTGGTGAGGTGCACTGAGATCAAAGTTAAATTATACTTAAACGTCAAACTCTGGGTGCCTTCAAATTCTTTGATGACTATCATAGGAAAGAGTTACTTCACTAAAATAATTAGTCCATCTCTTACCTATCTTCAGCCTAACTCAGGATTACACTGAAGTGAACCCGCTGGGGTGCATTTTCCAGAAAAGGGCCAAGAAAAGGTAGCAAGAAAAATACCAAGTGACAGAAAGGTAAGAATTCTCTAGGTCAGATGTAGAAAACCAAACTTACCCATATCATCATCAAATATAGACTTGGCTTCCACTTTCTTTTTGGACTTTTCTTTTGGTTTTACAGTTAAGTCAGCAAAGATATCAATGTTATCATCAAATAAATTAGATTCCAATGTTTTCTCCTTCTCTCTGGTTTTCTGAGAGGGTTTAATTGCTTCCGTAGCAAATATATCATCCTTGTTAAGCCAAAAATACATACAAAATAATGTTAAATCAATTTTTCTTTTTAAGCTCAAACACAACAACGAGCTATGGAAATACAATTGGCCAGGGTGTGTGGAACAGCCTCGAGACTGCCCACTCTGCCTGGGATGCACTACCCCAGATCTCTGCACAGCTTGGCCCGCCCATCTCACCCCGGCTCAAATGCCGGCACTGCAGTGACACCTTCTCTACCAGTCCTGCCTAAAGGAGCACCTCCCAGCCCTACCCACCACTCTGCCCCAGGTTATTTTCTTCATGACACTTAGTACTATTTGAAAACATCTTAATTATCCATTGCCCTGTTTGTATTTGATTATCTTCCCAGAGAGCTCTGAGGAGCCTAGCACTTCTCTGAGTTCACCTCGTGCCTGCAGTCCCCAGGTGCTCAATAAACATCTGCTGAGCAAATGCCACTGAAAGTCTTATTGCCTGCATGCACTACATTGTCAGCTCCAGCCAGGGCCAATGTCCCCAGAACCAGAGGTTAAACTCCCAAGCTGGACCAGTGGAGCTGTATGCCATGTCACCGAGTGGCATGCCCAGGAAGCTGATTACAATATTCTATAAAAATAAAAAAACTGTAAAAACTAGAGAAACCAAGACCAGTATCAATGATCATGGCCAGCCAAGAAATACAATCTACATGCAACAAAACAAAAAACCACTTCTGAATCAATGTTAAACTTATTAATAAAAGAGCCTAATTATAATTACTAAGCAAGTGGCTATGGGGTATGCACGCAACAAGCTAGACATAATCTATGGCTCAAATAAGCCAATCAGATACCTTCCTTAACTTAGAACAGACACAAAAACGTGTTAAGTCCTATTACCTCAAAAATATCTTGTGTTGTTAATATGACATCCTGCTGACTATTGGATTTTGTCTCATTCTTCTTGACTTTCTGATCTGTAAAGAGGTCATCCTCATCTTCCAGGAGAGGAAAGGGATTTGTTTTCTTTGCTGGTTTTGGTTTAGCAGACTGAAAGAGATCATCATCACTGCTGGCCTCACCTAGAGCAGGAAACATGGGGCTCTTTGCTTTACCACCCACTGGTGGGTTGGCAGGATTCTCTGCTATCTTTGCCTTGGGTTTTGTTCTCTCCACAGACTGAGATCCAGTGCCCGTGGAAAAGATGTCCCCAGAATCAAAAAGGTCAGCCTCCCCTCTGGAATGACCCAGAGACTTTGCAAAGGGGCTTCTGTCCACTCCAGGCACAGGACCACCTTCCCAAGGTGCAGCGGCAGCTGCCAGGGCCTCCTCAGTGCTGTCTTCTCCACTGGCTGCTCTGAGCTGTGGCCGATGGCCATTTGGGGAAATGGCGCCATCAGCCCACTGTGCAATGGGTCCTCTGGGGACGCTCATGTCCTCAGTCTCGCTGGACTCCTGAGCAGCCAGCCGCCTAGCTGCACGGGTCTGCGGTCTACGCTTCCCTCTCATCTTGACACGGCTCTGCAATGGCAAAAAAACACACATTGATCTGACGATAAAATAAAGTGTTCAAAGCTACCATGGCAAAGAATCAGTGACTCAAAATATTGTAAGGTTATCTGGTCTACTTCAATGAAGATATTATCTAAGAACATAGAAGAGGTTATTTCTTAATGATTTCCAAGGAAGGAGTTTAATAGCTCCTAGTACTCCAAGACTAAGTCATTCTTAATCCTTTAGAGTTCTCCATTTTTTAATCTTCTCAGGGCAGTTTCAGTTCAGTTTCACACAAAAAGTTTTATCTGTTGCTGGAAACCTGGAAAGTAGGTATGTTGGCTCTCTGTCTCACAACCCCTCCCTTGGCCCCTACTCTACCCTCAATAGAAACGTGGGTATCTTTCAAAACAAGAAAGAATCGGGGAATTCTGGTACTAACCTTTGTTAGGGGGCTAGTCTAAATTCAGGCTCCAGGAGCGGGGAGAAACATGACACAATAAAGAGAGGTAATCTAAGGTGCTGTTTTCTTCAAGTCAATAAACATTGAATTCAAACGTTAAATATTCCACATAAGAAATATGGCTTAGAAATCAGAACTTTTCATATAATCTCAAAACATGAATCACTTAGTAGCAATGATGCAGTATTTATGATAGTTTCCAAAATATACAATCAAGTAGAATTTTGAGAAGCTACAATCTACTTTGGGCAAAGTATGATTGTGTTGTCAACTTCAGGGGAATGTCACAATTTTAGTTGCCAATTTAAACTTAACTAAAAAAAAGCCAATGAAAATTCTCTTTAAAAGGAAGGCGGTTTTGTTTTGCACAAGGAAACAGGTTTGGAAACATTTGAAATGAATCTATTTGCCGGGGTAGGTCATTCTGTGTCCTGTCGCTTACTTGGAAATCAGCTAAAGCTTTCTAGAGAAGGGAGACTGGATAGAAACAAGAAACCCAACTACAATGAAAGGAAAACTTCAAAGGGTTCACAGTCCATTGAGGAGATCCCATGAAACAGTGTCGCTGCTGTGGGAACTTGGTGCGGGGAGTGCAGGGCACAGTCACAGAAGTGGGGATGTGGAAGCACAGCTGTGGACAGAGAGGAGCATTCCTGGTGAGGAGGCAGCAGGAGCCTTGGGCAGCAGCAGAACAGACCATGTGTGTTCAGGGAGTGGCACCTGGTGTGCCTGGAGTCAGGCTGGAAAGTGTGAAGTGACTAGTGAGGAAGCTGCACACATGGGCTGGCACCGATTGCAAAGGGGTTTCATACCAAACCCAGGAGCCCGAATGCTCTCCTTGGAGTAGTGAGGAAGCGCCAGCAGGAGGGGCATGATCTGCTCTGTGGTTAGAAGACCCCCAGGTGGCAGTGCTGGAAACCTGCAGGTGTCAGACACCAGCCAAAGTGGTGAGACGTTACTGTGGCTACTGAGCAGAATGCAAATGTACCAAATGCAGGCCACGGAAAAGCAGGTGCAGGATGAGGGGGGTGGGGAGAATGGAGTGGGGAGTGGCTGAAGGAAGGATGAGGCACCTCCTTCAAAAGGAGAGTCAAAGACTGCTGTGTATGCAACTGATAAACTAGAAAGAAGCATATGCATGTTCTGGTTAAAAGAAGAGAGCAAGGAAGCAAAGATGGTTTCATCACCTTGTTTGCACTGTGTAAGGTGTCTGCCTGAGCTGGAAGATCAAAACTCACACCGGCCTCCCCACTCCCGGGAAGGACAGGCACACTTTCCAGACCGTGGCTCCTTCTGTGTTCAGATGAAGGAAAAGCCAATTCTGGCAAAACAGGCTTTACTTCAGAGATCTGGGAAGCCGCTGTGGGCAGCAAGGCCGCTGGGTTGATCGCTAAATTTGCCTAAAGAAGAAAAATGAAACTCTGTATTTGTTCTTCAACACAGCAGTCTATTATCTTTATTGTGACACATGACAAGATTCGGTGCACATAATGTATAATACGAGAGGAGTAGAGAAACGTAGGAAAATCGCCCGATCTAGTCTCAGAATTAAAACAGAGCGTCTTACACCTATGCCCACCACTGGGCTCAAAAAATAGATGTTAAAGACGCAGCACACAGGAGACAACAACTAGGTGCAGGGGAGGGGAGGCGGGGGAAGAGATGAGAAGATGCTTGGCAGCAGCTGACAAAAGTAGGAAACCCAAAAAAGTTTATAGATGCCACAGGGCAGGCAATGAAGATTCCAGTGTTTTAATTACTTGTATCTTCCCGATCCGAGTGGATGGTTCTTTGGTTTTAAATGGAGCGAGACCTGATGAGTCCTGTGTAAAATTACATCCAGTTAAAAATCCATTTGGGAAACAGAAAGACAAGTGTTTCTTATGCCTGTAAATAAATCTGTGATGGAGCAAAACTGTCACTTTCTGTAGCTCTTTAATGGGAAAGGCATTCAAATCTCTCCTGGGGCCTGATGTTTCACTAGCACTACTTCACGTATGCCTCCTCCTCTGTCACGTAAGTGGAAAGCTGCCAGATCAGATATGGAGTCAAGGAATACAAGATGAGTAAGATTCCCAAGAGTCACAGTTTATCAGAGCACCTAAAACTGACCAGCAGGCAAAATTACCATGTTGGTTATCAAATAGAAATTTCAAGGAGCACACAAAAATTCAACCATAGCCTAATGCACTGGCTCTAAAAGCAAAAGATCTGAGCCCCAGGAAGGGTCAGTGGTGATGTGTTCGTCCAAGTGCCTCAGGTTTACGGCTCAGGACACTAAGGCTTCAGTGAGACACCCTGGGACACCTGCACGTGGAACTGGCACTCGCTCTCCAGTCCTGGGCTGTTCCCAGGAGGAGCTCCACAGCGTTCTGGGAAGACTGCTGCAGAGTACGGCCCAACAGCAATGACCTTGGGAGAGGCAACACTGAGAGCAGGCAGGAAATCAGATGTAATTTATATTTATTTCTATTTTAATTCTATTCCAAGGAAATCCAGAGGGAGAAATAAATTCTTTAGTGGGAAGAAGATTCTTCATCCTACCTTAACTCCACTTCAGAGTTAAATCTGGCATGGCATCAAAAAACACTAACTATTAAAGTATAGATTCATGAAACTCTGGCGTGTGGAGCGAGGAGAGGGGAGATGACTTGGGGGGAGTGCAGTGAAGACAAAGCGGTAGCCCTGGTTGCTGTTTCCTCCTTAATGCAGACAAGTCTGAATAACTGTGGGTCTGCATAATGGAATTTCTCTGTACTGGGATGCAAACAAGAGCTGAAAATCCTTAAAGAGGATTTCTAACCTGAGGTGTTTCCGGCTTCCATATGCCTTTTTCTTTACTACCTTGAATGGATTCAGGATGTTTCTGGTTTTTGAAAGAGTCAACAGAGTGGTCTTTTTTCACTACTCTCTTTTTCTCTTGTACCTTCAAAAGAAAAAAAATACCAAAAAGCCATCAAATATCTTAGAAATTTTAAGGAAAAATCATAATGCAAAAAACAATCCTGGCTTCTGAGTCTTAAAAATACTTTCTCAAATGAGGGCTGAACCAACTCAAAGGTAGCATTTCAGAAATAGCATTCTGAAGACTGTGGCTGTCACAGGAGTCCTCTCTATGATAAAAAGAAAACAGAGTACTTACAAAAACCTACTGGGGCTGGGGGAGAAAATGACATAGAAAGGCTAAAACTCAGACTCAAAACTTTGCACCTGAAAGGCACGAATATTTAGTCACCCCAGTGTATGCAATGGTCTTTCAATCAACCATTTAAACATCACACAGATGTGCAGTACAGTCAGAGAGCCTGGATTATTAATGTTTTAATGTTAGTATAGGGAACATAAAATGAGGAACAACAGAAACTAAGCATTGCATCCTCCACACACGCTCCCCTCAGCATGTTATTTGCCATTCATTTAGTAGGAAGCAGCACGACTCTCCTAGGATTTTCCTTAATGATCTAACTGGACGTTAGTTTCCTTTCCCAGAATCTTTCCCACACAACCCAGTATTGAGAACAAAAGGCTGGTACCAAAGGCTGGGACTTGGCAGAGCTGAAAAGATCATCATCTTCATCATCCCCAAACAGGCTCCCAACACTTGGCTCTAACAGCTAGAATAAACAAGACCCAAGTTCAATATCCAAAAGCAAAACAATTTACAAAGAGAACTAGGTGAGCTGTTGAGACAGCACCCAATACAATAACAAGTCATACTGTGGGGAACCATTTGGAACTGACCTTGGTTTTTTTGGTGCCAGCAAAAAGGTCAACATCTGGGTCATTGTCCTTTTGGAGCTTGTGGCTGAAAAGCAGCTCTTCATCCTGGAAGACACCTGTGCTCTTGGGGTGGGCATCAGGATCGCGGCCCTGGGAACAGGAGGGAAGGTCATGTGTGATTAGAGCTGTAAGAACTTATCTCAAGGAAGTTACATATGTAAAGATGGACACAACAAAGATGTCCCCTGCAGCTGTATTATATTAGCAAAAGGCTGGCCACAGCCTAAAAGCCACTCAGTAGGGGAATGAAACATTGACAAAATGGAATGCTATGGCGCTTCCAAAAATACCAGAAAATATATTTATAAATACAAAGTTTACATATATATATATGCACAAGCTTTAGAGATAATCTTTCCAGGTTATATATATTATATAAACTTTGTATAGTATCTAAATTTTTTATTAGAAAAGCAATCCATTAGTTCCATAATGAGAAACATTTTGAAGGTAAAAAACATAAAACTGAATGAATTCTCTTCATCTCATTTCCAAAGGGAAGAAGAGACAGCAGCTGAATCAAGCACAAACTACACAGAGTGGTCAAGTATGTGTCCCTCACCTGTAAGCACTGCAGGCCAAAGACCTGGCACAGGTGCGACCACAAGCCTTCCTATGGCTGTCCATCACTTCTGCCCTACTTTCAGACTCCGAGTGAGTCCCTTTTTGTTTACTAGATATCTAACATTTAAAAGTTACCATCAACATTATTGGTTTGATAATACAATGCTCCAGACCTGACATTCTAAAATTCATCCCTATTTCCTTATCACAGCCACAGATTAAAACTTAACAAAAAGGCCAGGCGTGGTGGCTCATGCCTGTAATCCCAGCACTTTGGGAGGCCAAGGTGGGTGGATTACCAGAGGCCAGGAGTTCGAGACCAGCCTGGCCAATGTGGTGAAACCCCACCTCTACTAAAAATACAAAGATCAGCCGGGTGTGGTGGCGTGTGCCTGTGGTTCCAGCTACTTGGGAGGCTGAGGTGGGAGAATCCTTGAACCTGGGAGGCAGAGGCTGCAGTGGGCCGAGATCACGCCACTGCACTCCAGCCTGGGCAACACAGTAGGACTCCATCTCAAAACAAAACAAAACAAAACAAAACAAAAAAACCAAAAAAACTAATGAAAAACTTACTTCTAACAAAATAAATCACATTAACAATAATTATTATTGTTATATATAAAAATGAGTTTAACACAGCAAGTAATGTTAAATATTTCACAACTATGGAAAAATATTACAAAACCATACACAGTAAGAGACTGGGAGAAAATATATCAAATTAATCATATTCACTGTGTGCAGCTCTCATTTATAAATAAGCTTATAGTATTGGTATAACAAAAAAATTCATATAACATTTTTTGTAGAAATAAACATAGACTATTTCTTTGGTTAGATCTATAAAAAGGATTGGCAATCTATGACCTGCCAACCTGGTTTGCATAACATCACCATTGAGATCAAATTCATATACCATAAAATCTACCCATTTACGTATAAAATGTAATGATTTTTTGGTATATTCAGATCTGTGTATCCACTACCACAATCTAAGTTTAGAATATTCTCATCACTCCCAAAAGAAACCCCAAACCATTAGCAGTAATTATCCATTCCTGCTCACTGCTACTCCCAGCCCCCAGTAACTACTAATCTACTTTCTGTCTCCATTGATATGCCTATTCTGGACATTTCATATAAATGGAATCACATAATATGTGGTCTTTCATGACTGGCTTATTTTATTTAGAATGTTTTCAAGGTTCATCCATGTGGCAGCATGTATCAGTACTTTGCCTTTTTTATTACCAAATAATATTCCATTGTATGGATATACTATATTATGTTTAGCCATTGTTTCCATCTTTTGGCTATTACGAATAATGCTGCTGGGAGCAATCATATTCAAGTTTTGTGTGAACATGTTTTTATTTCTCTTGGATATGTACCCAGGAATAAAATTCCGGATTGTGTGGTAGCTTTATGTTATAAGAATTTGAAGAACAGCAAACTGTTCTCCAAAGTGGTTGTACTGTTCCACACTTGCAGCAGCAAGGAATGAGAATTTCCATTTATCCACATCCTTACCAACACTCGTTACTTCCCTTTTTTTTTTTTTTTATTATGGTCCTCTTCCCGGGTATGAAGTGGTATGTCACTGTGGTTTTGGCTTCCCTGATGCTGAGCATCTTTCTATATCCTTTTTGGCCATTTGTCTATCTTCTTCAGTAAAATCTCTATTCAGATGTCTGTCTTACCTATTTTTTTTCAGACAGGGTCTCGTTCTGTCACTCAGCCTGAGTGCAATGGTGTGATCATAGCCCACTACAGCCTTGAACTCCTGGGCTCAAAGGACTCTTCTGCCTCAACTTCCCAAGGAGATAGAACTATAGGAGCACGCAACCAGGCCTGGCTAATTTTTAAAATTTTTTGTAGAGACAGGATCTTGCTATGTTGCCCAGGCTGGTCTTGAACTCCCAGCCTAAAGCAATCCTCCCGTCCTGGTCTCCCAAAGTGCTGGGATTACAGGCATGAGCCACGACGCCTGGCCTATCCCTTCTTTCAACTGGGCTATTTGTCTTTTTATTATTGACTTATAAGTCTTTTACATATTCTGGATCTGAGTCCTTTATCAAATACATGATCTGTAAATCTTTTCTCCCATTTTGTGGGTGGTCGTTTGACTTTCCAGATGGTGCCCTTTGAAGCACAATGTTTTTCATTTAAATAAAGTCCAATTTAGCTATTTTTGTCACTTGTGCTTTTGGTGTCTTATCTAAGAAGGCTTTGCCTAATCCAAGGTCATGATAATTTACTCACATACTCTCTAGATTCTAGGAGTTGTACAGTTTTAGTTCTTACATTTGGATCTTACATTGGATCTGAGTTTATTTATTAATGGGTCCAACTTCATCCCTTTGCATGTAGATAATCAGCATCCTGGCACATCTGCTGAAGACTATTCTGTCCCCACTGAAATATCTTGGCACCTTAAGCAACTGACTGTAAATGTGAGGGTTTATTTCTAGACTCTCAATTCTACTTCACTGATCTATATATTTTAACCTTATGCCAATACCATCCTGTCTTAAAGTAAGTTTTGAAATCAGGAAGTGTGAGTCTTCTAACTTTGTTCTTCCTTTTCAAGACTGTTGGCTATTCTTGGTCTCTTACAGTTCCATAAAAATTTTAGGATCAGCTTGTCCATTTCTGCAAAAAGCAAGCTGGAATTCTGATAGAGATTACAATAAATCAATTTGGGAAGGAAGTATTGCCACCTTACCAATATTAAGGTTTCTGGTCCATAAACACGAGATGTCTTTCCATCAATTTTAGGTCTTTAATTTCTTTCAATGTTTTGTAGATTTTAGTTTACAAGTCTTGTACTTCTTTTGCTAAATTTACTCCTAAGTATTTTACCCTTCTTGGTATTACTATAAAAGAAACTGATTTCTTAATTTCATTCATAAGCTGGTAATTGCTTATGAAAGTTACTACTAGTAGGTTGGGTGCAGTGGCTCATGCCTGTAATCCCAGCACTTCGGGAGGCTAAGGCAGGTGGATCACCTGAGGTCAAGAGTTCAAGGTCAGCGTGGCCAACACGGTGAAACCCTGTCTCTACTAAAAATACAAAAATTAGCTGGGCATGGTGGTGGGTGCCTATAATCCCAGCTACTCAGGAGGCTGAGGCAGGAGAATCGCTTGAACCCAGGAGGCAAAGGTTGCAGTGAGCCAAGATTGTGCCATTTCAATCCAGCCTGGGGGACAAGAGTGAAACTCCATTGCAAAAAAAAAAAAAAAGAAAGTTACTAGTAGTAACTTTTGTAAGTTAGTAAATGTTCATTACTAGCTTACAGAACTACAATTGGTTTTCACATATTGATCTTACATCCTTCAATCTTAATGACTTTAATTATTTCCAATGGATGTTTTTTGCAGATTCCTTAAGACTTTCTATATAAAAGATCATGCCATCTGCAAATACAGATTGCTTCATTTCACTTTTTCCTTTCCAATCTGAATGCCTTTTATTTCATTTTCTCACCTACATGGCCTGCTTAGAATCCCCAGTACAAGGTTGATTAGAATTACCAAGAGTGGACATTGTTGTGTTGTTCATGATGTTAGGGTTGAAAAGCATGCAGTCTTTCACCATTAAGTATGATGTCAGCTGAGGGATTTCATAGATGTCCTTTATCAAGTTCATTAAGCTTCCTCCTATGCCTAATTGAGTGCTTTACCATGAAAAGGTTTGGATTTTATTAAAAGCTTTTTCTGCATCTGTTGAGATGATCATGCGCCTTTTAATTCTGTATTTTATTGATACAGTGCATTATATCAACTAATTTTAGATGTTGAACCAACCTTGCATTCCAGGGGTAAATCTCACTTCTCATAATGTGCAATCCTTTTTATATTTTGCTGAATTGGGTTTAGTAGTATTTTTGTTGAGGATTTTGGCCTCTACATTCATAAAGGATATCTAGCTTTCTGGTGATGTCACTGTCTAGTTTTAATATCAGGGTCATACTAACCTCACAGAATGACCATCATCTATTTTTTTTTTTTTTTTTTTTTGAGATGGAGTCTCGTTCTGTTGCCACACTGGAGTGCAGTGGTGCGATCTCGGCTCACTACAACCTCTGACTTCCTGGTTCAAGCAATTCTTCTGCCTCAGCCTCCCAAGTAGCTGGGATTACAGGCAAGCGTCATCACGCCAAGCTATTTTTTGTATTTTTAGTAGAAACAGGGTTTCATTATGTTGGCCAGGATGGTCTCGATCTCTTGACCTTGTGATCCACCCACCTTGGCCTCCTAAAGTGCTGGGATTACAGGTGTGAGCCACCATGCCCAGCTGACCATCACCTATTTTTATTAATAAAACTTACTGGAACACAGTCATGCCCATCCATCTTCATGTTTCCTAGGGCTGTTTTCATGCTGCCAATGGCAGAGCTAGGCAGTTATGACAGAGCCCAAATAGGCTGCAAAAGCTAGAATAGTCATTATATGGTCCTTTATAGAAATAGTTTGCTGACACCTGATCAGTATGAAAGGTTCATCTACAACACTTTTTCTTAAACTGAATGTTAGAAATACTTAACTGTACAACTCCAGCCTAACTTCCCTTTCCTGCTGTTTACATCCCACAACTGGCCAAGGGGCAAAGTTTTGCTAGAAGGAACAACAAGGTCTGTAAATCCCAGAAGAGGGGGGGTGAAATTCTAATCCCCTATCCTAACACTGCTACTTGAGGTAAGAGTTCCTGATTAAGATTCCCAAATATCTAAATGACTGCACAGAATCATTAACACACTACATTGAAGGTTAAGATTCCTTCAGAAACTCACATGACAGAATGACAACCATGAGATGAGAGTCTTTTATCTCATCCAGAGACTTGAACCACTATTGCTTTTTGCTTACCTTTCCTACTTCTTTCTGTGGAGCCTGGATAATGTTTTGATCTTCCATTTTATCCTCTTCCTCATCAAACAAGCTAAGAACAGTTTTGGTTCTAGGCTTGGTTCCTTTGTCCCATGGGGATGATGAAGAAAATAAATCAGAATGCTTGACTGTTTCCTGAGCAGATCTAGTCAAAAGTCCTTCCTGAAAATGAAAATAATAGGGGGAAAAAATAAGTAACACCTGGAAATACAAATCCTATCATGGAGCCTGCCAAGCTTCTCGTTAATTCAGTAACTGCCACATTTGCATGACTCAGGGCACAGTGAATCACATCTGTGCCCAAGTAACAAAACACTGAGGTCAATTCTTGATTGGCTGCTCCAAGAGACAGTCTTGTACAATCATCCGTAGCCAAAGATAACTTTTCCAAGCATTAAGACCATGGGTCCCTCTCTCCTATCAAGTGATAGGATGGCTATAATCCTGATGCACACTGGTTGCTCATGAACTAGGAAGAACTTCTAAGTGTCAAAGATAACCAATACAAGTGCCAATCATTGGGAGTGGACCATGAATTCGTAGCATTTAACTAATACATAAGCCCCAAGGGGGAAATCTAATCAGGAAAATCAGACCCTCAAATTGTAAAAGGCTTACACTGTATAGGCAATTGAAGAAGAATCTCTGAAATAATTCTAAAATGCAGTATTTATTCATTCAACAAATGGCACATTTCAGGTAAGATACCATTGATTATGAGGTACATCCCGATTTCAGAGTACTCAAACTATTAAAAAAATGCTTCTTTAAAGAAATACAAAGTTTATAACATAGTGCCTACTGTGTGCAAGGTAATATGCCAGTACTACAGATATGATGGTGAGCAAAACAAACTGGGCCTAGTCCGCAAGGGGCTTACACTCAGGGAGAGGGCAGTACAGCAACCAGTCAGAGTCAAGTGTGGACCAGGACTGGGATAGGACTGGGGTCCACACACAGCCACTAGGAAGAGAATTTCACACAGGAACACAGGTACAAATGAAATGCTTGTATCACTGTAGCTCCAAGGAGCCTCAGCAGCAAATGCAAATGCAACGCTCTTCACACAGGCCCTGGGAGATCTTAGACCTAAGCAGCTGGACACACAGCGTATAAGAAAAGTTAGAGAAAGAAAAGAGGCATATAGAGACTGAAGGCAACCACAAAGCTGGATGCCCAGGTGTGGCCAGCAGAACTACCCACAGGCCTCCTGCAAGAGACGGCAGACCGTCCAGGACTTGAAAGCTAGTGTTTTAGAAAGAGTAGAAATTTCACTCTACTCTGTAATCCTTGCCAATATCATCTAAAAGTAAAAGGATGCTAAACTAAAATCTCCTTAAAACTGACATTTAAATTCAAGTGCACTTGGGGACCAAAGGAGGACCAAGGGTAACAGGAACACTGCACAGAAGAGAACAAGTTAGAAAGCAAAGATGCCATGACGTGACAGTAACCACAGAGACAGGAGCAGGCACACCACAGTGCGCACATGTCTTGGAGAAGGGCCGGGAGGAAAGGCCCTGCAGAGGCTTCCTGCACTGTGGGGACACAGCCTGCTTGTCTATGTTTTCAAATCTGTCTACAAATGGGCCATTTATTTTCTGTGGTCAAAAAACTTAAGGGGTTGTGTGTGTTTGAAACAACATACGAGAGACAAATGCATTCAAGTATACAAGAGAAAAAAGTCCACCTTTTCTGACTCAGCCACATCAGTTCTCCCAAATTTTAATGACTCCTTGGCACTCTCAACCTTCTTATCCACAGACTTCACTCCAAGTTGTGCCTCCTTCTCTTCTTCATCGCTGAACAGCAAAGGTGGTGCCTCAGAGACAGTCTCTTTTTTCTACCAAAAGAAGAGTACATGACATCCACAACAATAAAAAAGTGTGTCTGACCAGCATGGCCATATACAGAACAAGCCCAAACCATCCTCTTAGGGCTTCAGCTAAATGTGATCAAGGAAGAGAGGACAGGATAGTGAAGGTAGCACCAAAAGGGAGAAGCAACAAACACCACCACCCGGGACTTGTGGACAGGACACTTCACGCCACCACATCACCTGTATCTGTCTACTTGTGTCTGTCAACCCCCATGCCTCCCTCCCTCAGATCCTTATCTCTGCCACCAGACGATTATGAGTCTCTCTCTCTGCCTCACTCCTCTTATATTTCAACTAGAAGACATTATCCAGCGTTGTCTTGCTAAAACAAAACACCTGCTGGATCAGGTCCTCTCCCAACCCAAACCAGCACTCCTTGCATGAAGCAAATGACACTCAGCAGATACCCCATTCTATCCCTCTACTCATATGCATCTCCTCCTTTCCCTGCTGTTCCTTAAGGTCGCTGCAAACTTTCAAACTTCCATGCCACGCTGCCCTCGATGTCTGTAGGTGCAAATCCTCCCCATCCTTCAAGCAGGGCCCCCACGCAGATGTCACCCACGGTCTCTGTCCTCTTCAGTTAAGTGTCAGTTGCTTTGTTGAATAAGCATAATATTTATCTCTCTACTTGACCCTTCCTTGACTTTCTTCCTAACTTATATAACAGCTAGCACACATCTGTTTGTCTGTTCATCTGAAAGGACTATACACTATATTTTCATGGACAGTCCCAGTGTTTTATACCAACTCAGTGTTCAATACAAGTCTGCAAGCACTTCAGCCCATTTCTCATCTCTTCCTTATCAGGGAGGCAGGGATTTGGGGACTAGGAAACTGAGGTTTGTGACTTTCCTGGAATTCATGGCATTTTTGCAGCAAGTGACTTATCAACAAGTGCTTGAGAAAAAACTAAAGATCTATTATAGTATAGTACAGATACAAATCATACCATATGACACGAGGAAGTGTGCTTTGAGGCAATGCCTAAATCAAGTTAGGAAGGCAGATTTGGGAAACTAAGGAAGGACATTGCTAATCATGATTTTAAAATGTGATGAATGAAGAAAGAAGAGAGCAAGGGGATTTTTAGTTAGGAAGAGATAAGTAAAGTGCAAAACCATTGAACTTAACATAAAAGAACACTGGAAGGCATAAAGAATTTCAGAAGAGATAAGGCAACACTGAAGTAATCAAAGGAAAAGGCTTTTGTGGAACATCCTGGACTCACTGAAAACTACATAAAAATTCAGTGCAGGCCGGGCACGGTGGCTCACACCTGTAATCCAAGCACTTTGGGAGGCCAAGGTGGGCGGATCATGAGATCAGGAGATCGAGACCATCCTGGCTAACAAAGTGAAACCCCGTCTCTACTAAAGAAATACAAAAAATTAGTCGGGCATGGTGGTGGGTGCCTGTAGTCCCAGCTACTAGGGAGGCTGAGGCAGAATGGCGTGAACCCGGGAGGCGGAGCTTGCAGTGAGCCAAGATGCGCCACTGCACTCCAGCCTGGACGAAAGAGCAAGACTCCGTCTCAAAAAAAAAAAAAAATAATAATAATTCAATGCAAATAGTTGATAGGGGAGACAAAAAGAGACTTAAGTATGGCAAATCATATTCTTCCTTCATATATAACTAAGGTCCTTAAACCACAGAAAATGCTACCCAAAGTACCAGTTTTAATCTTCTTGAAGACAAGCTCATCCTTGTCATGAAGTTTACTTCCTGTTTTTTTCTTTCTTTTTTTTTTTTTTGAGATGGAGTCTCACTCTGTTGCCCAGGCTGGAGTGCACTGGCACAACCTCAGCTCACTGCAAAATCCATCTCTCAGGTTCAAGCGATTCTCCTGCCCCAGCCTCCCTAGTAGCTGGGATCACAGGCGTGCACCACCATGCCTGGCTAATTTTTGTATTTTTAATAGAGATGGGGTTCCACCATGTTGGCCAGGCTGGTCCTAAACTCCTGACCTCAGGTGATCCACCCACCTCAGCCTCCCAAAGTGTTGGGATTACAGGCGTGAGCCACCACGCCTGGTCAAATTTACTTTCTTGATAGGTGTCAGAAAATAAGGAAAGTCTGAAGAAAAAAAAATTGTCTAAAATGGCTGCATCTTGGCCATATGGGTAATAGAAACCGGGCCTATGAACGAAAGCTGAACCTCACCTGCAAGGCCAGAGTCTGTCAAATATCACACTGACAGGCACCGATTACAACCTGCCTATTGGATGAAGCACAAAGGCAGCACAAAATCAACCATCCCTCTCCTGACCCTGCAACTGCGACCCCTATGTACTCATTAGGGTAAAAGGCTAATGAGGAAAATACATTAACCACATATTTACTTTATCTTATATTCAATGTCACCGAGCACCAATCTGAATTAAGAAAGTCACCGTTGCTTCACTGCCCCCTTTTCCCATTTTCTATATAACAGAAATGTATAAATGCTGTGTCTCGTGTGGCCCACTCTGGGACGCATTCTCAGTTTGTGTGGAGTCTCTTTACTGGGCTAGTAGTTCTCAAGCTTGGCTCAAAACAAAACTCACATTACATTTCTTTAAGTTCTCCTGCCTGTGGTTTAACCTTTTGGTCAACATAGGCTTACAACCAAGTCACAATTAACTTACACTGAAATATCTGTAAACAAGAAATATCTTTTATTTACTATTGTCTAAAGATGATTATATTTCACAAATAATCAAAAACGTGTAGGCTATTCAGCTACTTAAGTTGTGTGTCTTGACCTTTTGTTTTATTTAACAATCATAATTACCATAGGTTGAAAGAAGTTTTACAGCTCCAGAGGCTCCAAAATTCATTAATTTATTGCTCAGTTATCCTCCAGAGTAGTTTATTTATAATTTACAAAGAAAAACCAATCAGATCTCCTGACTCCTTTAATTGTACAACCACTGGATGTCCTTAAAGGGGGAGATGTAAGTACAGAGCACCCAAGGAAAGGCTCAGGAGCCCCGTAGAAGCAGCAGCAGGGAGCCTGGGGCCCAGGGTGGGCAGCATGCTGGCCCAGGGCTGAGAGCTTCTGGTATAAGCTGAGCAACTCCATTTAACAGGAAGGGTCTTCTTCCATATCTCCTAGATATTTTTTGTTTGGAGTTTATTTCTAATTCCACAGTAATGCACAAATGCCTTCCTTAAAAAGGCTTTAAAAAGGCATTGAGAGTATGAAGTTCCCCATTCCATACCTTTCCCTGGACATAATCACTGGTAACAATGTGCTATCGATGCTTTCAGGCCGGTTTCCAGGCATTCATGTGTATTTCTTGTTTTGTAAAGTTTAAATTACACCATGTTTACGTGTTTACGCTTTTTTTTTTTTTTGGCCTGCAGTATGTTTTTCATCCCAATAAGCTCCACCCTGGGTTTTTTTTACCACTGTATAGTATTCCACAGTCTAACTGTACTAGGACCTGTGTGACCATTTCTCCACTGATAGAGTATAACGGCCTCAAGGTTCATGCATTTTGTAGCACATGTGAGAATTTCCTTCCTTTTTACTGACTGGCTAATATAAACCAGGACCAGTGTTAGTACTCGACACACACTCATAAAAGGAATGATTTTGCCTTAACTGGCCTAGTCTAATGTTAGCAGAATTCCATGACAATGGGGCCCAAGCCTCTTCTGAGACCCAGTTCCTTGTTCCTACACCTGACACTGAATGATGGTTTTGCACGTGTGCTTCTTCTCTAGAATACTATTAATCAGAAGATCTCTTTCTGAAACCAGGCAAATAAGGTCTTCCATAAGACTCAGCCTCCAAGGTTAGGTATGAAGAGCTGATTCGGGGAAGTACCACTACTGATGCAGCATAAACTCAAGGACATTTCCTGGGACTAAGAGATGAAGAATACCTTTGTTGCAGGAGGAACAGATGTGGGAGGAGAGCCAAACAGAGAGCCTCCGCTATCAACATCGTCTTCAAAGAGGAGTGACACTCTCTGGGTCTTCTTTTGGCTACACAAACAAACAAAAGGTCAAATTAAGGAAAAGTGTGATGAAAAAAACAAAAACCATAACAACAATATTTCTTCTAGACTGCACCTACAGGAATCCACCTACCACCCAAACACCCAAGCCATTAGTTGACCTTACACAGTTGAAAGCAAACAGGAAAGACCTTTGAAATAGATGAAATCTGACTCCAACAAATCACCAGCCTCTGTCCCTCCTGCCTCAGGTTGCCCCTTTCCTGTTACTATCCAGTGCAGGTTCATCAGCTGTTACCGCTGCAAGGCACACGATGCCTGAGCCTTCCCAAGCAGAACATTCTCTCCCACTTCCTATAGCACAAAAAGAATCAAAGCGGACAGGCCTATTTCCAGAATTGTCATGAAGACGGTTGCCAAGAGAGATCACAGGGCCAGGATCAGCACTGGGAAATGACCCTGTGCCTGGCTTCTATTTCTTTTTTTTAGTAGCGTTATTGAGACATAATTTACATTCCATAAAATTCACCTTGTATTTACTTTATTTTTAATATTTATTTTACTTTTTAAGACAGGGTCTCACTCTACTGCCCAGGCTGGAGAGCAATGGCACAATCATATCCCACTGCAGCCTCAAATTCCTGAACTCAAGTAGCCTCTCAAGTAGCTACAACTACAGGCACACGTCACCATGCCTGGCTAATTTTTTTACTTTTTTGGAGAGGTGAGGTCGCTCTATGTTGCTCAGGCTGGTCTCAAACACCTGGCCTCAAGAGATCCTTCCACTTGGCCTCCCAATCAGTTAGGATTACAGGCATGAGCCGTTGCACCTGGCCAGATTCACTCTTTTAAAGTGCGTACTTCAATGGTTTTCTTAATCCAGATTCACTCTTTTAAAGTGCATACTTCAATGTTTTCTTTAATATACTCATCGAGTTGTGCAATATCACTACAACCTAAGTGCACAACATTATCATGACCCCAAAAAGAACCGCCATGCCTATGAGCCATCACTCTCCATTCCCCCTGCCCCACAGGCCCTGGCAACCACTAATCTACTTTCTGTCTCTGTGGTTTATCTATACATTTCATATAAATGGAACAATACAATATGTGGTTTTCTGTGACCAGCTTCTTTCAAGTAACATAAAATTTTCTAGGTTCATTCATGTTCTAGGATGCATCGCTACTTTATTCTTTTTTATTGCTGAAGAACAGTCCATCGTATGGTTATACATTTTGTTTATCCAGTCATCAGTTGATGGACATTTGGGTTGTTTACACTTTCGGCTGTTATGACTAAGGCTGCAATAAACACTCATGTACAAGTTTTTATATGAACAACTAATTTCATTTCTCTTTATACGTATATACATAGGAATGAAACTATTATGTCATATGGTGACTCTATGTTTAACATTTTGAGGAAATGCCAAACTACTTTCCAAAGTGACTACACCATTTTACGTTCCCACCAGCAGTGTATGAGGGTTCCAATTCCTCCACATCCTCACCTCAACTTCTTCTTGTGTGTGTAAAGCTTCTTTTGAGATCTGATGAAGGTATGAATTACTTTCCATACACAAAACTTGACAGACAACTTCGGGAACAATAGGAGGTAGGATGTATCTGGAGCAGAGAAAGCATTCCTGAAAGCCAGGTATGGTGTGTGGCTGGAACCAGGACCCACAAACAAGATGGGGTTCAGACTGCCAGATTTATGACCTTGTGTGGGGTGGGGGTAGTGGACACTCATGGGAATAAGCTAACCTGGATACAGTGCAGAAAATGCTCAGCTGAGGGTGTTGGGGTATGAAGGTGGAGCCATGACCGCCCTCGACTCCCTACTTCTTCTCTTTCTCGTCTGTTTAAAGTTAGGAAAGGCCTTTTTTTTTGAGATGGAGTCTCTCTCTGTTGCCCAGGCTGGAGTGCAGTGGTGAGATCTTGGCTCACTGTAACCTCTGCCTCCCAGGTTCAAGCAATTCTCCTGCCTCAGCCTCCCGAGTAGCTGGGATTACAGGTGCGTGACATGACGCCCAGCTCATTTTTGTATTTTTAGTAGAGACGGGGTTTCACCATGTTGGTCAGGCTGTTCTTCAACTCCTGACCTCGTGATCTGCCTGCCTCGGCCTCCCCAAGTGCTGGGATTACAGGCGTGAGCCACTGCGCCCAGCCGGGAAGGCTTCTTATGAAACAAGACTTACACTTAGTTTTGAAAGAAGGTGGCCAGGCAACACAGGAAGAAGAATGTCCCAGGAGAGAGCAACAAAAATAAAGGAATGTACTATTTCCCTGCAGTCACGATGCTAACTGGCAATACCTGAGGGCTCAGAATGTGCCAGCTCTTGTGCTCAGCATTTCACATTTAGATTCCACCTCATCATCCCAACAAACCGATGAGAGAAATGCTGTTTTTATTTTTGTTTAACAAATGAGGAAATTGAGGCACAGGGAAGTTAGGTAACTTGCCCAAGGTTATTCAGACAGGAACTGGCAGAATCAGAATTTAATATCAAGTTTCCAGAGCCTATATTCTAAATCAGAGACCAAAGATGCATCCGAGTGTCAAGTTACAGAGGCCTAATGCAGAAATGGTGATGCTTGACAAGATTCGAGTATTTGGAGACAGAAACCTGACGTACTTCTGAATCTATCAAATGACGCTTAACCACACCAAAGCATAGGATTTACATGTCCAATCAGTTACTTCTTTCTGCTAATAACATTCAGGTGAATTTCAAAGTAATCATGTCAGGCTTTCAAAAGGAAAAAAAGTATTTGCAGGGAAGTAATTCTGAACCCATAAGCTAATCTGGCAGCATGTTATACCAACCACAGCCCACGCTCACTCTGAATATCCTAGCAGCTTCAGTTCCAGCATTAATGGGGAGAGGCACCTAGGTTGGCTATGGGTTATCAGCCCCTGGAGTGATACTGCACAGCTCTACAGGGAACTTCCTCCTAACAGGATGTGTTAAATGCTGAGCAGATTTCTATTCAAATAACTTTTTTTTTTTTTTTTTTTTTTTTGAGATGGAGTCTTGCTCCGTTGCCCAGGCTGGAGTGCAGTGGTGCCATCTCAGCTCACTGCAACCTCCACCTCCCAAGTTCAAGCCATTCTTCTGCCTCAGCCTCCCAAGTAGCTGGGACTACAGGCGCGTGCCACCACACCCGGCTAATTTTTATATTTTTTTAGTAGAGACAGGGTTTCACCATATTGGCCAGGCTGGTCTTGAACTCCTGACATCGTGATCCGCCCACCTCGGCCTCCCAAAGTGCTGGGATTACAGGCATGAGCCAACGTGCCTGGCCTAAAGTAACTTTTAAGTAATCCTGACCAAACCTGACATACTTTAGAGTAGCCCAGAGAAAAATCACAAACAAAAGATACTCAAATCCCTGACAAACAAAGAAAAAGAATATGGTTAAAAAATAATGATTGGGGAAGAAATCAGATAAGGATCCACAAAGACAAACATTTCCGGGTACTGAGGGAAAAGATGGTGCCATTGAAAAGCAAAGACATTCTCACTGGCACAATCACTATGTGATCCATGATTAGCAATCACCCGATGAACTAGATTGTGCATCAGATTCCTTTTCTTGTTACCACGGTAACGGAGTGAGGGACTCCTTCCAATGACTATCTCACCTGTCCTTGGCAATGGCAAAAAGATCATCTTCTTCGTCTTCCTCAAAGAGACTGGTCTTTTTCACAGCCTTGGCCTCCTGGCTCTGGAGGGTCCCAGAATCCCTGGGTTCTCCTTTAGACCTGCTGTCAGATGCTAAGTGGGTCTGTGAAGCAGGAATATTCCACTGGTCCTTAAAACATAAAATATATATTAAAACTCCAGGCCAGGCGCAGTGGCTCATACCTATAATCCCAGCACTTTGGGAGGCCGAGGCGGGTGAATCACGAGATCAGCAGATCAAGACCATCCTTGCTAACATGGTGAAACCCCGTCTCTACTAAAAATACAAGAAAATTAGCCGGGCGTGGTGGCGGGAGCCTGTAGTCCCAGCTACTCGGGAGGCTGAGGCAGGAGAATGGAGTGAACCCAGGAGGCAGAGCTTGCAGTGAACGGAGATCGTGCCACTGCACTCCAGCCTGGGGGACAGAGCGAGACTCTGTCTCAAAAAAAGAAAAAAAAGTCCAATGGCAATTTAGATTATAAAACATGGGGAGTAAAATCAAACTTATATTTGTTAAACTAAGTTGTATTTAAACTAAGTATTAAACTTAGTGCATCAGTCTTGAAGAAAGCTCATGCTTAAGACTTTTCTTTGAACTCAAATCTAGACAGCTGGGCTCTCTGACCTCACAGAGCTTCTCATGATTTCCTCCTCCAACACCTGCCACGATGTCTCTTCCCACTGTGGTTCTGCACTGTATTACGACAAGCGACTTGTCTATTTCAGGGAATCAACATTAATTACAGAGGCTATAAGAAGGAAGCCAAATGTAAAAATACCAAGAACTCAAGAACTTCCAACTCCAGAGAAGAATATTTTAATTCTAAAAATCCTAAAGCAGATTGAAAAAAAAGTGTAAAAACTCATGCAGCACACATGTGAACAAGACACAATGAAAAACTGCTAGTAATCCTTTTACCACAAGTCTGAATGTGGCCTTTAGAAAGCATTTAAGGAAATTCTACTCGACTATGCTCACACCCCTTCAAATCAAAGAACTCCCAAGCACTTGCATAAGTGCTCTATCTCTGGAGTCTAGAGTCTTGCAAATCAAACTGGAGTCCACAAGCCAGCAGCAGATTATGCAGAATTTCAGGCCCCGCGCCTATTTTCTGAATCAGAACCTGCATTTCACAGGGTGCCTGGGTGATTTCCTAAACATGAAGGTTTGAGAAGTGCTCCTCAATGTTTAGCAGTGACTAAACGCTGAAATCCACTAGAGAGTATCACAAAACTCCAATGACGAGGCTGTACCCCAACCAGATTAATTCAGAATCTCTGGAGCTGGGATCCACTGTCAGCACTCGTCAGGTCTTCTTTTTTTTTTTTTTTTTTTTTTTCCTTTTTCGAGACAGAGTCTTGCTCTGTGGCCCGGGCTGGAGTGCAGTGGCGCAGTCTCGGCTCACTGCAACCTCTGCCTCCCGGGTTCAAGTGATTCTCTTGCCTCAGCCTCCTGAGTAGCTGGGATTACAGGCAAGCACCACAACACCCAGATAATTTTTGTATTTTTTAGTAGAGACAGAGTTTCGCCATGTTGGCCAGGCTGGTCTCAAACTCCTAATCTCAGGTGATCTGCCCACCTCCTTGGCCTCCCAGAGTGCTGGGATTACAGGCGTGAGCCACTGTGCCCGGCCTGTCAGCACTCTTTTAAGTTCCCCATGGATCCCAATGAGCAGCCGAAGTTGACAGCCTTTGTTCTAGGACAAGCTTGTCCAACCTGTGGCCCATGGGCCACACACAGCCCAGTATGGCTTTGAATGCGGCCCACCACAAATCTGTAAACTTTCTTAAAACATTATGGGATTTATGCACGAACCTTTTTATTTTTTTAGTTCGTCAGCTATTGTTAGTATTAGCGCACTTTATGTGTGACCCAAGACAATTCTTCTTCTTCCAGTGTGGGCCAGGGAAGCCAAAAGACTGGACGCCCCTGTTCTAGAACCTTGGCTGTCTTTCTTCTGCATGTCTTTTTGCTCCAAGCTTTAGGTAATGTTTTTATTTTCCCTGAACCACTATAATACTCTAGTAGGAGCAACTACACTGATGTCTGGCTGTTGCTACAGGGGGAACAATCACCGACAATGTTTAAAAGAAAAAAACTGGATAATCTATCATAAATTCATACATTTGAGTAGAAAACACAAATTATATATGCTTGGGAGTTCCTTGATGTGAAGGCATGAGCACAGCTGGGTGGGAATTCCTTAAACGCTTTCTAAAGGCCAGACTCAGACTTTTGTAGTAAAAGGATTACTAGCAGTTTTTCATTGTGTCTTGTTCACATGTGTGTTGCATAAGCTTTTTTTTGAGACGGAGTTTCGCTCGTTGCCCAGGCTGGAGTGCAATGGCGTGATCTCGGTTCACGACAACCTCCATCTCCTGGGTTCAAGTGATTCTCCTGCCTCAGCCTCCTGAGTAGTTGGGATTACAGGCATGCGCCACCACAACCTGCTAATTTTTTTGTATTTTTAATAGAGACAAGGTTTCTCCATGTTGGTTAGGCTGGTCTCGAACTCCCAACCTCAAGTGATCTGCCTGCCTCAGACTCTCAAAGTGCTGGGATTACAGACGTGAGCCACCACGCCCGGCCGCATAAGCTTTTAATACATTTTTTTTTGCAATCTGCTTCGGAATTTTTAAATTGCTTTCAGTAAGAACATGAACATATCTATGACTTATATATCCACTTCACCCCCTATTAACTTGCCTACAATGTTAAAAAAAAAGAGGAATTATTATAACACAGGAAGATGTTTACTACTCAGGATTTTTTATATCATCATATTTAAAGTCTTTTTCTGCACAGCTAAATCTGATTCCCTGCTACTAAATCTGATTGAGTTAGCAACTAAACTAACTGATTTGGTAGTATCTATCCAGATCACAAACAGAAATATTGTTAAGACTCCCTCAAAAAGGAGTTTAACCTCAATAGGTAACTCCTCCTAACTATAGTTCTAAATTAATGAAACACAGTAGTCATTTAACAAGATACTAGTATATATGGCCATTGGGGTATACGGGACATGCTACCTCAAAATATGACACCTTGGCATTTGAGAAAACAGAAGCAGAAAGGTCTCTCTGACCTTTCCCTGGCCCTTCTCCTCTGAAGCAGGACATAGAAGAATCCTCTAACCCTCTCTGGAGTAGGTCATAAAACCTTCATTCCAGTCCTCCCTATTCCCAGAGGAAAGGAGCCTCCTTATTTGTAAAGATGCAGAGAATGATCTGACCACACAGGCCTTGCTGAGCTCCCCCCAGCTTATTCCCATCAGGTCACACCCCTTTCATCTAATCGTGCTCCCCAAAACTGTCCGCTTCTTCATCAGACTGCATAAAATTGACACAGGATTTCCTGTTTCTCTTGAGTTTTTCTTTCTGAAGGCTCCTGTGTCTGGTAAAACTTATCTTACGTAAACTTGCACACTTTTCTCTGGTTAATCTGTCATTTGTTCTAAGGGACTCGACCATGAACTAGCGATGGCTGAGAAATCATTTCCCCCCTAGCCGGCCTAACTCATTTGAAGGAGCATACACTATTGTGTGGGAGTCATACCTATTCCTAACCATTTTGAAGAGATTCATCTTTAAATTAATATATTACATTAAATGTCTTCCGTCAGAAAAGACAATCTTGTGAACATCGCCTTTGGTGACTGAACATCACGAGATATAAAACAGGTAGAAAAAGACTTGGGATGGCTTTAACTCTTAAATCCCATGAAATAATCCCCTCTTCTTTAGCAGAAACCTCAGCTCACCTCCTCATCACTGCTGAACAACAGGGCAGATGCTTTCTTTTTGGAGAGCTCGGAGGCTTTTGCTTTCTCTTCTCTCTGAGCTTGTAGACACAATGTCTGCTTCTTAGCAGCTGTACCCCCAAAAAGATTATCCTAGAAAAGCAAATGGCAGAAAGGTAAGACAACTTTATAATCAGAAAACATAGGATGTCCTCCTATATCAAACTTTAAGGAAGTAAGTCTCCAGTCAGGTATACAAATAACAACTCTGGCGGGGAAAAACCGCAAAATGCTAGTAAATCCCAAACTACAGCCTTTTCTCACTGCACCCATAGAAGGGAAAGAGATTACCATAGAACTCGAAGGCAGAACAGCTGCATATAAGCAGGAGAACAACATGCAAATGAGATCATGAAGTACAAGGAGAAACTGAGCCCCATCCAGTCACCCTGTGGGCAAGTGCCTCTCTGCTCATTTCAGGGGGTTACAGCCTGCAATGGGCACGGGAGCCCCCGCAGCAGCCAGAAACTCACACTGTTGTCTCCACGAATGAGAAACCAGAACAATGGCTGAAAGGAGAGAACTGGGGGTCTGTCTCCACTCCTTTACAGGTCAGAAAGACATACACCTGGGATGGAGGGAAGGCATGACTTGTGTTTCTCATTAGTTTCAAAGAGATTATACAAAGTGGAGAAATAGCTTACTAAATAAAATTGCTGGTGTACTAAGTTTAATGGCATTTGTAAATTCTTCTGTGGTCAAGCACTCCCCAAAAGTTATATTTATTAAGGTGCTTTTATTCAGATAAGGGGAACAAAAGCATCAGAGGGCCTGAATCTGAGTTAGGATGGACAAACTCAGGTGAACAGCCCTGGAATGTGAAGATGGATGAAGGGAGTGTCTTCCTGGATGAAGTCTCCTTTAAGGAGAGTGCGGTAATGTAGGACAGGCCAGGAGAATAATGAGCTGGTGTCCATTGGGGATGCTAATGACAGAGCTCACATTCACTATGCACTTATTATGTGCCAGCACTCTGCAAGAGCTTCACACTAGTAGTTACAGCTGCCACAGTGACCCTACTCACTGTTAAGCCACATAAGCTTAAGGAAGGTTAAGTTACTTGCCCCAGGTCCCTGGTTTGCAAGTGGTGGAGCTGGGATATGAACCCAGGGGTCTGATGGCAAAGCCTTTGAGCTCACCACCGCCCAGTACTGCATGAGAGTTAAGGTTTGGGTTGTCTTCTCTCTTATTTCTCTTCCCCACTGTGCTCTCTCCAGCCAGGATGGGAAAGAAAGACAATGGTCAGGACATGGCTGCCTTCTCCTTTGTATCTCCACTTGATCCAAAACATTCTTGTAGGTCATTGGGTATATGTTGATCCATCCTCTAGACTAAAGTACAGCTGACCCTGAATGACACAGGTTTGAGCTGCACAGGTCCACTTCTACACAAATGTTTTCTCAGTAATATGTTGAAAATTTTTTTGGACATTTGCAACAATTTGAAAAATCTTGCAGACAAACCATGTGGCCTAGAAATATCATAAAAAAAATAAGGAAAAGCTGGATATGTCAGGAATACAAAAATATATAAATAGATATTATACTATTTATATGTTAATCACCTGTTTATGTTATCCATGAGGCTTCTGGTTAACAGTAAGCTATCAGTAGATAAGTTTTTGGGAAGTAAGAAGTTATATATGGATTTTTCACTGCAATGTGGAAGTCAAAATAACCTCCACACTGTTAAAGGGTCAATTGTATTTCTCAAAGGCAGATTTCTAAAAATAAAACCTGTAGATTTCACTCCATAAGAACTGTGTCAAGAAGCCAGGCATGGTGGCTCACACCTGTAATCCTAGCACTTAGGGAGGCCGAGGCAGGCGGATCACCTGAGATCAGGAGTTCGAAACTAGCCTGGCCAACATGGTGAAACCCTGTCTCTATTAACAATACAAAAATTAGCCGGGAGTGGTGGTGCACGCCTGTAGTCCCAGCTACTTGGGAGGTCGAGGCAGGAGAATCACCTGAACCCGGTTGCAGTGAGCCAAGATCGCATCACTGCACTCCAGCCTGGGTGACAGAGAAAGTCTCCAACTCGGAAAAAAAAAAAAAAAAGAACTGCATCAAGAATCTAATGTCTTCTCCATTGCACAGCTAGGAAAATATAAGGAAGAAGTCACTGAAATAAAAACAGAAATATTTTTGTTATATAAACTTCAGGTGGCCTGACTGCTTCCCTACCACCTTTTGCTAGTATATGAGCCTCTGGGTAGAAAGTTGCATCAACAACCGTTTTCTCCTAATCTAAATTATCTAGTGTTACAATAACAATGTTTACCTCTTCATCTTCATCATCAAACAGGGAAACCAACGTGGGGAGCTTGCCAGGCAGCAGAGACGCACCTTTTAACTTACTCGCACTTTGAGAAGAAAACAAATCCTGTTGGATTGAAATTAAAGTTGCTGGTTAACAGGAATATCAGTTTTTAAAATATCAGGTCAGTATAAAACACAAGTGACTCAGACATGACAGCTGCCATGTGTCTAGGCTTCTTTCCTGAGAGGGAAGGTGGCTCAGACAGAGTCCTTAAAGGGATAGGCCTCAGGGTCTGTGCAGGGTGTGTGCAGTGGCACTAAGGAGGAGGAGAGCTACAGGATCTGGTGGCCTCGCAGAGCCCAGGGGCTTCTGTATTCCCACCTGAATGACAGAAGGCAGGAATAAGTTTTTGAATCAATTTCCTACACCATGCTAAAAAAATAAATATATAAGCATGGCTTCCCATTACCGTCTAAAGAATCAAAGATTAGACAGGGTCAATAAAGAAACAGGGGCTAGATTCCCAAATTAATGGAGCTACAACTATTTTATTTAGTAACACCCTCCTCCCCTAAGATTATGACTTACTTCTTTTTCTTTTTTTTGAGGCGGAGTCTCGCTCTGTTGCCCAGGCTGCAGTGCAGTGGTGCAATCTCGGCTCACTGAAAGCTCCGCCTCCCGGATTCACGCCATTCTCCTGCCTCTGCCTCCTGAGTAGCTGAGACTACAGGCGCCTGCCACCACGCCTGGCTAATTTTTTTGTATTTTTAGTAGAGACGGGGTTTCACCATGTTAGCCAGGATGGTCTCGATCTCCTGACCTTGTGATCCGCCCGCCTCGGCTTCCACAAGTGCTGGGATTACAGGCTTGAGCCACCACACCCGGCCGACATATTTCTTTTAAGTAAATACAAATTAAACTTTATTTTTAAATGTTTGCTAGTCTACTTAGCTTAACTATAGGTATATGACATTGCAAACCAGGATAAGACCTGATAGATTCTAAAGAAACTTTCAGCTCGGTGCTGTGGCTCATGTCTATAATCCCAGCATTTTGGGAGGCTGGGGCAGGCAGATCACCTGAGGTCAGGAGTTCAAGACCAGCCTATATTAATTTTGTAAAAATACCAGATTAGCCAGGTGTGGTGGTGGGTGCCTGTTATCTCAGCTACTCAGGAGGCTGTGGCAGGAGAATTGCTTGAACCCGGAAGGCAGAGGTTGCAGTGAGCCAAGATCCCACCATTGCACTCCAGCCTAGGCAAAAAGAGTATAATTTCATCTCAAAATAGCTAAAAAATATAAAAATCAAGAAATTTTCAAAATGTTATAAAACATCAGCTTATCCTGCAAAGAAAGACCTGCAAGTTGACCTACATGAAGTAGAAACATAAAATGGGACATCTATTCCCTTGGGAAGATAAACTTCAATACACAAGAGCCGAACAATTAAATAGGACAAGAAGATATTTCTAAGACCTCTTTGGACAGTTTTTTTTTTTTTTAATTATGGGGTCGCTGTCTACTCCTAAATATAGACCTAATGAGTTCACTAAGTGAGATCTCCTCCACACAGTGTTTTTCCCCTGTGCTCCCCGGAGTCCCATGGGTTTATTTAGATAGAAGAGGCCACAAGGGGAATTCCAGGCATCCCGTGTCCCTCCTGCATGTTACACAATGGCAAGAGAAAGGGTTCTGCTGTTCTAAGAAAATGAAAGTAAACCAAAGCAAAGAACAAAAACAAATGTCAACATCACAGTTTCGGACCCTTAACTGATACCTTTCTTGGTACTGCAAGAAAAGACACTTCCATTACCTCAAATATGTTCCCCCAAAATGACCACAGGGCAAGCTTCAGCCTCACACTTGAGATATAGAGAAAGGAGTCAGGACGCATTCCTTCGGGTCCAAAGCTTTAACTCTTACTTAGACTGCCTTAGTTTTACCTCTCCTTGCCTTAGAATCTGAACAATATCCAATAAAAACATTCGCTCTATGATGACACACATGGGGCAAAGCCTTTGGTAGGGTTTTCACACAAGTCTGAGAGTACATTTACACTCCCACCATCAAGAAGGGGAGCCTATGGCCTCTCCCCATAAACCTGGATGGGCCATTGTGACCATCTTGGCCAACAAATGAAGCAAAAGGAACACCGTTGACTTCCAAGGCTGGAACAAAGAAGGCAACATGGCCTCCATCGGGCTCTCTCTGAGGACTCTCCCCTACAGCCCTGAGCCAGCATGTAAGAGGACCGGCTTCCCTGACTACATGCTGGGAGCCACACAGGGCTAGTGAGAGATGTCCCAGGGGCCCCAGTGCCCAGGTACCAGACATATGAATAAGGTGATCCTCAGCCCAGCCACCTTCAGACACAAGAGACCCTCAGTGACAATGGCCTAGCTAAGCCCAGTCAACCTCTCGAACTGTGAGACAACAAAACTATGGGTGTTATGAACCACTAGGTTTTTGAGTTACTTGTTTCATAGCAACAAATAACCAGAACATCTCGTAAGTCACTGAAATTGTTCACATTTGGTTTTCTTGTCTAATCAACAATTACTGGATGGCTTACAACATGCCAAGCACTGGTATTAAGGACGGGGTGTTAGGGATACAAATAGGGAATACAAAGTCCTGCCCTCATGGCACGTACTTTAGTGGGAAGTAGAGACAATGAATAAGTAAATATACACTGTCCCTGGCAACACGTGCTGTGGTAAACAGTGAAATAGGAAAGAGGAACAGGAGCACAGCGTGGTATGTGCTAGCAGGCTTCCTGCTGTGTGTATTTCATCAGGGAGGCCTCACAGAGAAATCGAAGAGTGAGGAAGCAAGCTGGATTCTGGGAACAGCATTCCTCAGAGTGGCAGGGGCCGGTGCAAAGACCCTGAGGTGCAGGTGTGGGTGACACATGGGATCCATGAGCATAAGACGGTGGAGGCCCCATCATGCTGTTTCTCAGGGGTCAGGGTTGTGACTTAACTGGACTTTGGTTAATTCCTACGTTTTGTACACTCGCCTTCAGTGATAGCCTCAAAGGTATTCTTTACATCAAGGGCAATCACTCTACTTCCAAAGGGTTCCATGTTCATCCTTGCTGTGAGTGCAAAGCCCAACCATGACAGCCTAATCTAGAGCCCACAGTTTCTTGAAATACATGTAAGTTTCTGCCATGTCCACATATTTTTCTGTAAAAGGGGCTTATTACTTCCCATTACAATCTCATACAGTTCTATGATCTCCTAAAAGGCCAACTTAAAATTGGATCTAAGACGACCTAGGCCTGAGAGACTCAGGAAAAGCAGTGAAATTCTGAGAGGTGGTTCTAAGGTGCCTGGAGGGACCAAAGCAACCTATGAACCAGGGTCCCAGAGGCTGTTAGTGGTCTCAGTCTCGACAAGACAGATGGCTATGCCAGAACCCATCTGCTACAGCGTTAAGGCATGGTCTAGTTAGTGAGAATGTGAATAAAGGAAGTAGCATGGTGACCTCCACTCTGGTGCAAGCTCCTCATCACATCATGAGCCCATGAACAGTTTAAAATCTGAGCATCCTAAAGAGAGAGGATTTTCATCCCAGGAAATGTAAATACAGTCCAACCCAAAGTGAAAAGTATTGTAAACATATTGCTTTCTAAAGCCCCTGTGCTCTCAAGAGATTATTTTTTATTCATTTATTTATTTTGAGATGAAGTCTCGCTCTGTCGCCCAGACTGGAGTGCAATGGTGTGATCTCGGTTCATTGCAACTTCTGCCTCCCGGGTTCAAGTGAATCTCCTATCTCAGCCTTCTGAGTAACTGGGATTACAGGCTCGCACCACCATACCCAGCTAATTTTTGTCTTTTTAATAGAGACTGGGTTTCATCATGTTGGCCAGCCTGGTCTCCAACTCCTGACCTCAGGTATCCGCCTGCCTTGGCCTACCAAAGTGCTGGGATTACAGGCATGAACCACTACTCCTGGCCTCTAGAGATAATTTTTAAAGAACTGGAGTACTTAACAAAAAGTCTTATAACTCTATTGAGAAAAACCTGATTCAAAAATAGTTTCTATGTCATATCCATAGACTAATACCCACAACTAAGCAAAAGAATTCCATACCTCAGAGTCCTCCTCATCTGAAAATAAGCCTTTTTGAGTCTTTGTTTCTGATGAGGGCTTGAGATTTTTGCTGGAAGATAAGGTAACCTTTGTCGGGGGTGGGGGGGGGGGTGGGGAAGAAAAAAAGAAAAAGAAAAATTAAGCATTAACACGTAAGATACCCAGAAAAGAGGGTTTACTCAATCAATCGAGAAAACGCACGGAGTCTCTGCTGTGATAGGCAGCAAGCTGAGGGGGCTGTTAAGAGAACAGCAAGACAAACAGAGGACACATCTGGTGTATCAGGGAGCAGGACACACAGTCTGGGTCAATGGGTGCACAGATGGGACATATGCAATGAGAGACAGCATGGAAAGACAGGCTGCCTGACGGGCCTGACAGGTTCTGAATGCTGGGCCTTAGGTGGTCGGCAGGAGAAAGTCAGGGCTTCACAGCCAGGACACGACACAAAGAGACAAAACTGTAGAAAGAGGAGGGACCAGCTGTACAGGACAGCAGTGAAAGGTCAAGCAGTCAGAAGGGCTTAAAGACTGCTGGGGACACACACACTGGCCAAATGCAGGTCAATCTGAGCATCAAAAAGAATGATGGTTTGGCCAACATGGGCAAAACCCGTCTCCACAAAAAATTAGCCGGGCATGGTGGCGCACGCATATAGTCCCAGCTACTTGGTAGGCTGAGGCTGGAGAATCGCTTGAACCCAGGAGGTTGAGGCTGCAGTGAGCTGTGATTGTACCACTACACTCCAGTCTGGGCAACAGAGCAAGACCCTGTCTCATAAAAAAAAAAAAAAAAGAAGAAGAATGATGGTAATGGATTATCATCTACACTGAAGAATGAATACATGATCCCAAAGCAATACTAAAAATCGGGGAAGGAGAGGGAGAGAAAGAACTTCATTCAGAAGAATGCCAACTAATAAGAAATATAGAATTAAAAAAATAGTGGTTTGTGCCCGCTAACAGATTAACTGAGTCAAGAAAAGATCATCAGTGGATTTTCAAAACACTGAGTAAAAGGCTGGGAGAGAACAGGTATTCACACTGTGTTCAACTATCGCTTTAGAGATCAACTTAGCAATGGCAAAAGAGGACAGGGTACCTTTCCAATGAAGCAGTGTGGTGGGCACCCTAACAACCAAGTGACAAACGTGTCTGAATGAGGCAGACAGTGGACCTGATGTGTCTTGGGAGGTGATCCAACTGGAAGTGCACAACCCTGCCTGCTTGTATTCTTGCCAAAACTTCTCACCCTGAATCTATTCATAGGAAAATAATCAAGCAAATTCACGAGACACATTCTACAATACAAGTGGCTGGATATTAAAAAAAAAAAGATGTGGGAGGTGTTGCTCTAGATTAAGGAGACCAAAGAGACATGACAACCAAATGCAATGCAGACACACTGTCCAAATCCTGAGTTTCTTAGAACAAAAAAAAAATCAAAACATAAAAAAATACTATAAAGCAGGGGTCCCCAACCCTGGGCTGCAGACCAGTCCATGGCCTGTTAGAAGCCGGGCCACACAGCAGGAGGTGAGGTGAGCAGCAAGCATTACTGCCTAAGCTCCTCCTCCTGTCAGATCAGTGGCAGCATCAGATTCTCACAGGAAGGCAAACGCTATTGTGAACTGTGCATGTGAGGGATCTAGATTGCAGGTTGCACTCTCCTTATGTCCCTAATGCCAAAAAGGTTGGGGATCACTGCTGTAAATGGCATTTTGGGGACAAGAGAGGAAATTGCAGTATGAACTATATGCGAGATAATTTTAAATCTGTATTCTATTTGTTGGGGTGATTTTACAAAGACATTCTGGGGCAACTGGAGCAATTCTAATACAGACTAGATATTAGATTCTACTATAGAATTACTGTTAGTCTCACAGCTGTTGATAATGGCATTGCGCTTATATGGAAGTCTTTTCAAGAGAGGCTTAATGAAATATTTAGGGGTAGAATGTCACAATGACTACATGGAAACAGTTCCATGCAGCAAACAGTTCAAACAACTTACATGCAAATAGTTCAGGAAAAAAATAGATATGTAACAAGGTTTACATCCATAAAGTGTTTGCCAAAACCCTAAGAACTGATCAATCTGGGTGGCAGTTATTTGGGTGTTCACTGCAATGTTCTTTCCACTTTCTGTTTGAAGTTCTTCAATATGAACGTGAAAGGGAACAGCACTTCCCTCTGGGTTCAGGATGAATTATTAAAATGCGGCAGATCAATGCTCCTGCGTTAAGTCTTCCCTCCTGCTCACCTTTTTTTCTGCTCTTGCTTTATTTTCATCTGTCTGACTCACAGTGGCTTCTGGCGATGCTACGGCTTTTTCTTTGAACAGATCTCCTTCTTCGTCACCAAAGATATCGGCAGTGGATTGGACTTTGCCTGTAAAAAATACCAAGGCATAAAATGACACTAACGTCAAACATCCTATCACAAAATTCACAGATTAAAAAATTCTTCCCTCCCAAAGAATAAACATAAAAAGTTATGTTGTTTCTTGATTAGTTATAAAGAAATAGTAAGTGGAACTATACTCTTCCCTTGGAATTTTTCAAAGTGCATAGTAGCAGTTCAGTTGAAAGACAGAACAGACAGTTTATCCACGTGGCTGACATGCTTATCCAAGCAGCCATTTCCTGTACTTAGAGTAGCTTGGACTGGCTTACAAGGTGAAGAGAGATCTAGAGGAAGAAAGATCATTTAAGAGGGCCACCAAGTCAATCATCTAAGGAATCTGAGAAATGAAGGCTTGGCTCCTGTTTTAAAAAAAATCAAACTGTACAAAAGCAGATAAAAGCAAATAATGAAATCCCCTCATAATTCCACCAGTCTACTCAAACAAGATGAACATTGGGAACAGTTCAGCATACATGCTTCTAATTCCCCCAAAGGATGTACTAATGAATTAACACTAGTTATTTATAAATAAGGCTATAAATAAGAAGATAATTTGAACAATGTCTTACCATTTGTGTTTTCCACTTAATGTACCTACAAAATCTTCCCAAGTCAACAAGCGTAGACCCCTTTCTTTTTAACTGTCACAGAATAGTCCACTGAATAGAAGGGCCATAGCTTACTCTACTGATAAGTATTTGGGTGGTTTCCAACCTTTCATCACCATAAGCACTGCTGTACCGAATAGGGCATGTGTTGCTGAAATGAGGTCACTGACTCATGAATGTCTGAAGAGACTAGGAGTTGTCAAAGAAAGCAGCATCAATTTACTAGGGATTCTAAATCAGTTCTCAAAGATATCCACTAAGTAAGAGCCCTGTGGAGCTACAAAAAGCACTACTACCTTCATTCACTGTCATCTTCACCGAGACCTGTGTGCATTGTCATCTTCACTGAGACCTGTGTGCATTCTGCATCCGTTTGCACTCTTTCTAGATTAACTAGGCTATCGTTTTCCCTCACACTTCGGCTTCCATCCTTACTTTCTACACCTAACACTGGAAGAGAGTGAGTCCAAACAGCCGGCTTCTAAATGCATTCTAGTTCCATCCATTCCTATGCCATCCTTTTTTATTTTTTAAAGTTGCTGAAAATCATGTGCACCTTAGGGATCTAGGGATCTACCTTTCTTTTCTGGAAGAGCAGTCAATGGATCTAAGTCTTGCTATTCGAAGTGTGATCTACAGACCATGAAGCTTGCTGGAAATGTAAATTCTCAGGCCCCACCCTGGACCTACTGAATCGGAATCTTCATTTTGACAAAAGCCCCTGGAAGATTCATCTGCACATTTAAAAACAAATGATTTATGGGAATGACTTCAGGACATAGGACTTACATTTAAGAGGAAAAGAGAGGAGAATGCCGAAGTGGCCAAGGGGATGAAAACATCATCTGAGGAAAGACCAAGGCCACCTGAGCTTTTTGGCAGAGAAATGAGAAGCTGGGAAATAAATGGCCGGCACACAACCTGCTGCTCATGTAATTGACTAAGGTCGGCTGGAAGAAAGGATGATTAAAACTTTACAATACCAAAGGTCAGAACTGGAAATTGCAAGCAAAAATTATACAGAAAAGGATTTCAGCTCTCTATAAGGAAAATAATCATAGTAATTAGCTTACAGAGCAGAAAAGATTGGATCATAAAACAGACCTCCCAGGCACCACACCTATGTAAGTACAGACACAACAACTCAATGACAGGAATGCTGGAGAAGGGATTCTGGCACTGTAAGAGATACAGAACTAGGTGAGCTTATGTTCTTTTTAGGCAACGTTCTTTTTCTGGCTGAAGTCCTAGAAACGGAGGCAGGAACACATACCTGTTTTAGAAGGTTTGCTGTGGGGTGCCGAGAAAAAGTCGTCATCATCATCACCATCATCATCATCAAAGAGGCCAGTGGGAGGGGGACCATAGGGGCTTTTCCTTGGAGTGGGCTGCTCAGGCTTCTGTGGCTCCTTCATTGATGGAACGGAGGCAGCACCAAACACATCCGTGTCTCCTGTGGGTGGAAAGACAAGACAGCCACAGCTGTGAGCCAGTGTGGGCCGGTTGAATTTACAGAAAAAAATTATCACCCACCAAAAACTTTCCATTTCAGTTAATCCACAAAATGCATAACAGGGCCCAATAGCCTCCATCCATTACTGCTACAGAACATCTCACAACGGAGAATCACCAGGTCAGCTCAAACACAAAAAAGTCCAAGGCCACTGAGCTCTAGGAGAATAAGAGCTAATATCAGTAAATGAGCTCTTTCTATAAGATGCTCAAAGCCCTTTGAAGCTCCCAGGTACTTCCTCATCTCCAGCCAGACTTTAGAAGATGATAATTTTGAAATGCAAAAAACAGTATTTGTGTAGTTTTTAGAAAACAAACCTAAGTTATGTTACCTAAAAATACAGAAACAGCTCCTGCTGGGATTTTCTTTCCAGGTTTGGATGATGAAGACTCTAGAATGAGAAAGCAAGGGGTAACCATTTTACAAGGGAAATAACTTTCCTTGCTATTTTCTTCCTGAAATACGTGCGATGTAAAACACAGCTAGTATCAGACCTTTTGAAACCACTTTTTCCTGAACAAGTCATTTTAAAATTCTTTAGTATTTTCTTCTCTACCGATGTCAGGACTTTTTTTTGGGGATTAACACAATCTGAGCTGTGACTCCAATGGAAGAGCATGCTGACCGTCATCAAGCCACAGCAGTGGGTCAGCTGGGGGACACCAAGGGAGGAGGTGAGCACAGCAGAGGCAGGGACAGCATGACCAGGGCTCCCCCAAACAGTTCCACCTCTACCCATTCCAGTTGGATGAGAATGAACGGGTGAAAAAGAACCGCAAAAACATGTGAGTCATCAGTAAAAAAATAAAGACATAAGAGCAAAGGGGGAAACCAAGCAAGTCACTGATGCCAAAACATGGACAGCAGAAAGCAGAGGAGAGCCAGGCTAGCAGCCCGCACAGCAGGCACAAGGAGCGGCCTCCAAGGCCCAGCTCTGATGCCTGTGCCCGGGAGACTCGGCACTTAGAATCACTAATTCCCAAGTCCCAAGAACTACCACAAACCTATGGAGTAACATTTGTAGGTTAAAAAACATATTTATATTTGTGTTTTTTAAAAACTGCACCAAGGGGACAGGTGCAGTGGCTCATGCCTGTATTCCTAGCATTTTGCCAGGTCTAGGCGGGTGATCACTTGAGGATAGGAGTTTAAGACCAGCCTGTCCAACCGTCCAACATGGTGAAACCCTGTCTCTACTAAAAATACAAAAACAAAAAACAAAAAAACAAAAAAACCTGCACAGATGATTTTAATGCACACTGGGTTGGGGAATTACTGGTCTCCAACTTATATACAGAATGTTAAAAATGTTTCTTTAAATTAAACTTCATTCAATGAAAACCATCCTCAACATTGCTCTAGGGTACTTTTCTTGTTTGACTTTCTATGAGTTCTCTCCTAACAAAGAGGCAAGACTGTGGTATGGGTTTACAGATGGTACTGTTTTTTCCAAGACATGAATTAGTGAAGATGAATTACTTTCAACTGGACCACAGTAAAAACAACAGCTTCCTGCTTAACACAGAAACAAGGCTTGGGAACAACCTTGTTCCATCTCCTAGTGAGAAAGACAGTTTTGGAACTCTGCACACGGAGACGCAGCTGCCCAGCCCCAGCTTACCCTCCTTAACAGAGGCTCCAGCTTGCCGATCCTGGGGGGCTTCCGTGAAGAGGTCACTCTGGTTGAAATAAGGTATATGACAAAGAATTCAAAAAACCAGGAGAAAGCATAGCTGCATGTGAGGATTCCTAAGGAAAAATAACCTACAAGATTTAAAGCTACATATTTACTACTCTGCCAGAAAATCAGTTGCAAAGTGATAACTATGGCAAAATCAGACCCTAAAATAATTTAGGCCTGTCCAGGAATTAAAAACAAACGTGGAAGACAACAGATAAGGCAAGAAACAATCACCTAGTAAATTATTCACATTAACACGTGCACATCTTCTCCTCACCTAACAAAGCATAGAAGGATACGGCATTTCTCACTCTGTGATTCTTAGTTCAAAATGTCCCAAAATATGAAAATAGAAGCAACTTCCAACTGAGAAACTGTTTTTCCCCCACTAAACAAGCAAAGCCTATATCTTCCCTGTGGACCCCTGACACAGCTAGCTGCAGGGAGTGTTGCTGGGTGCCATGGACTCACCTCCTCGTCCTCATCATCAAAGAGCCCCTTGCCCCCACTGAACAGGCCACCTCCAGAGCCAAATGGCGAGAAGTCCTCGTCGGTCAGCTTGGGGGGTGCGAATAAGTTATCCTCTTCATCTAGCAAACAGAAAGCAATGTTTTGCAGGGAGTATTAAAGATGGGTCCAGAACTCAAATTCCCGGGTTGGCATCTGCTGTGTCTCCAAACTGGCATGGAGTTTATCTGACACTATTTAACAAAGTGTGAGGCAGTCTGATGAATTTCACACTAAACCCCTGGCACAGTCCACTGACACCCTCAAAAGACTCTCTGGGCCTCCACTCTCAAGTCTGTCCACGTCTGTGGCACACAGTATTCATTCTCTAGGCCAGCACCCTGGATCTAGCTTTACTCTGAAGCAAGCATTCGGGTCAGACGCCACATTCAAGACCCATTCCCCAACCAATCTGGGGGAAGGAAGGGCAGAATAAACAAAGGGATCTGCAAACTGACACAGGGACAAGTCTAATGTAATGGACATGGCTGTTTGCAGAAAAAGGCCTGGTGTATCCTTTATTGAAAACAAATGCTAGAGATTCCTAAGTTTCTATACTTCTAAGAATTCTAGGAAGACAAGAAATGATTGCTGTAAAATCTAATAAATCAAATCTCTACAGGAATTTTTACTCCACACCCACATATCCTCCCAGCACCCCAAAACATGCCTTCCAAGGCTTCTGTTTGTTTTTGGGATGGAGTCTCACACCATCACCTGGGCTGGAATGCAGTGGCGCGATCAAGGCTCACTGCAATCTCTGCCTCCCGGGTTCAAGTGATTCTCCTGCCTCAGCCTCCCAAGTAGCTGGGACAACAGGCACCCACCACCATGCCAAGCTAATTTTTTGTATTTTTAGTAGAAATGGGGTTTCACTATGTTGGCCAGGCTGGTCTTAAACTCCTGACCTCATGATCCGCCCGCCTCGGCCTCCCAAAGCGCTGGGATTACAGGTGTGAGCCACCGCGCCCAGCCCAGAGGCTTTAGAAAAGTAAATGGAGACAGACCCATTTGTCAGAGGGAAAACAGCATGTAAAGCAGTACTTCATGAATTATGTAAGCAACATTCCTTAGTCAACAGGCTCCTAAAATAACAGAATTGAGGGAAAAGGCCCACCGTCTGAAGGAGTTCTCCTTTCCTTCTTCTCTTTGAGTGTCTTCCGAGGTTTTGCTTCTCCTGAGGGTAAGGCTTGAAGAACAGTTCACAGTTTTAATAGTACTAAGTCCTCCCTCAGTATACACATCCTGGTTCTTTCCACGTCTGTCATCCTCATAACTCACAGCTAAGAGCAAGACATCTGCCTTTCATCTCAGCTGCACCAGAGCACTGAACCCCCTGGCCCTGCCCACAGTGGGCACTCAAGAGTCTCTTTGTAAGGCAGAAGCCTTCTGCTTTCGTACCAGGCTCATGTGCATAACAGGATTGTATTTGTTGAAAGAATTATTGTGTTATCTTTCTACCCTGTTATAACTAGAATATGCTATATAGCACATTCTTACGTGTTCAAAATATAGGAGTAAATATTCAGCCAGGAATTCTTAAGCTGTTGCCCATGGTTCTCTGGAGTTTCTATTAATCCCCTGAAATTATATGTAAAGGGTTATCTACATGTGTACATGTACGTTTTTCTTGTGGGTCCACAGTGTTCAGTTATCTAAAGGAGCTCATTAACCAAAAAAGGAATAAGCGCTACAATTTAAATTATATGTAGCAATTACTAATAAATATATGTAGTAATTACTAATAAAAAGAGAAATCCGCCTTTGGTGAAGCCAGCAGAGGGCCCTGCACTACTCCCCCCCTACTCCCCATCAACGCGGCTGGGGCTCACTTGTCGGCTCCTCGTCCACTCGACCCACGGCATCCCCCTTGATGCGGGCAGCCAGCTCATCTGCAAACGATGTAGGTCTGCTTCTTTTCTACAGCAGGAGAAATCAAAAGAATCGCTTTTTTGTAACAAACTAGTACACTTCACTTTGGACACCTAACAACATTATGTATACAAGAGCAAAGAAATTGAACTGAGGAGAAAACAGAGTTTAATTAAATGAATTTAAACATATGTACCCTATACAGCTCACCCAAGGAATAGGACTCATAAAATGTTCCTTCAAAGGGAGATGCCCTTTATTTCCTTATTCTTTTTAATACTTGACTTTAATACTTAAAAATCTAAATACGAAAATAAGAAAAAGGTGAATGGATGGAGAGACAGGAGCACTATGGTCTTCAAACTCTGGAACTAGACATATTCTGAATGATCTGACTCATAAAATCATAACATCTGGACAAGAAAGTGGTACTTGTGAGGCAATTTGAGATGCTTGCCATTATTTTCCAAAGTGTAAATGAAATGACAAATATGCCAAAATGAGTGATGTACAAAGTAAGTCACAATAAAAAGAAAAACAAGTCATTGGTTCTAAAACTCTGCCAAGTGATAGCAACTACAGCCTTCCTTACAGGTCTAGTATTTTCTTCAATGTCCTCAATATCTTCCTCCTCCTTCTCAGAGTCAGCGAAAAGGTCACAGCCATCATCATCCTCTTCCTCATCACTCATTTGTGTGGTGTGCTAAGAGTATAAAATACCAAATTAGAACTACTAGTTATTAAGCTAAAGAAGAGATACTGTCAGCCTTTAGGCTCCTCCTTCAAAGAAGTAACAGCTTTTTAAAATAATAATCATAAACATGATGCAGCAAGTTATGAAGCAAAAGATGTGCTGGAAGAAATAATACACAAGATTTACTTTGAATCTAAGAAAAATATATATATAAAAATATATATAAAATATAAATATATATATATAAATATAAATATATATATATATATTTTTTTTTTTTTTGAGATGGAGTCTAGCTCTGTGGCCCAGGCTGGAGTGCATCAGCACGATCTCGGCTCACTGCAACCTCTGCCTGCCCAGTTCATGCTATTCTCCTGCCTCGGCCTTCCGAGTAGCTGGGATTACACGCATGCACCACCACGCCCAGCAAATTTTTTGTATTTTTAGTAGAGATGGAGTTTCACCATATTGTCTAGGCTGGTCTTGAACTCCTGACTTCAGGTGATCCACCCGCCTCAGCCTCCCAAACTGCTAGGATTACAGGCGTGAGCCACCAAGCCCGGCCTAAAAATGTATCCTTTATAAGAATGTAACAACAAGAATATAAAAAGCAGAATATTAAAATATCAAAAATGGCTTACTAGAGAAATATTTTTATTTATTTATTTATTTTTGAGAAGGAGTTTCGCTCTTTTTGCCCAGGCTGAAGTGCAATGGGGTGATCTCGGCTCACTGCAACCTCCGCCTCCTAGGTTCAAGCCATTCTCCTGCCTCAGCCCTCTGAGTAGCTAGGATTACAGGCACCCGCCACCACGCCCGGCTAATTTTTATATTTTTGGTAGAGACGGGGTTTCACCATGTTGGCCAGGCTGGTCTCGAACTCCTGACCTCAGGTGATCCAACCACCTCAGCTTCCCAAAGCGCTGGGATTACATTCTCAAAGCACTGGGATTACAGGCGTGAGCCACCATGCCCAGCCTTTTACTAGAGAAATATAAACATCATCAGCATAGTCTTACCTTAGTAAGAATACTGAGTAATAGTTAAAAGGTAAAAGCTGTAACGACTAGAGAGCCATCCAAGGTAGGTCAAGCAAAAAAGCGCAGAATAACAAATCCAGGATGATACCACGCCCCGCCCCCTCTGCAAACACTACAGCATTTCTATGGAAACAGATGTGTTTATAAAAGCAAAGAAACAGACTTGGAATGACATGCTCCCAGAACATGATCCCAGTTACCTCTGAAGAGTATGCAGAGAAGGAAAGGACTGGAAGGCTCAAACTTAGCCTTATCTGTTAAGTTCTAATTTTTCCAAAGGTACACACTACTATGTATAATTAAAAAAATTTTTTTTCAATGTTTGAATCAATGAACTGTGCCAGGCATGTTACTAAAAGCACTTTATTATCTAATTTAATCCTTACAACTTTGAGGTTAGCTGCAGCACACAAAACCAACCTGTTGCATAAGCTAGTGCTTTTACTCACTATACTGTACTGTTTTTGAAAAACTGTTTGTGGCCGGGCGTGGTGGCTCACGCCTGTAATCCCAACACTTTGGGAAGCTGAGGCAGGCAGATCACCTGAGGTCAGGAGTTCAAGACCAGCCGCGCCAACATGGCGATACCCCATCTCCACTAAAAATACAAAAACTAGCTGGGCATGGTGGCACATGCCTATAATCCCAGCTACTTGGGAGGCTGAGGCATGAGAATCACTTGAACCGAAGAGGTGGAGGTTGTAGTGAACCAATATCGTGCCACTGCACTCCAGCCTGGGTAACAGAGAGAGACTCTGTCTCAAAAAAAAAAAAAAAAAAAAAAAAGGAAAGAAAAACTGTTTGCATTTACAGATCTTAATAGGAAATTCCATAGAAACAAATATCCTATGAAGAAAGACTGATCGTTAAAATTATAGAGATCAACCACATTTATGAATACAACCAGGAAAATACAGTAACAACCAGAAAGTATAAAATCCTTCATTTGATAGTTAAACATTTTTGTGAAAAAAATATTTCCCAGTTAAGAAATTTAAATGCAAATTTTTAACTAAAAGAAATTTAAAATAATCACCCCAGTGATGAGATTGTAGGAAAATCTACATGCATAATACTTAATTTAGAATGTCCACCAGACATTAAGAGTTATTAACATAACTCTATACCACCTCATTCTGAAGAAACAGTTCACCGAAGCAAAGGATTTCTATATATGAAAATATTGGCTGGGCGTGGTGGCTCATACCTGTAATCCCAGTACTCTGGGAGGGCGAAGTGGGCGGTTTGCCTGAGCTCAAGACCAGCCTGGGAAACATGGGAAGACCCTGACTCCACTAAAAATACAAAAAATTAGCCGGGCATGGTGCCACACACCCATAGTCCCAGCTACTCAGGGAGGCTGAGGCATGAGAATCGCTTGAACCCTGTAGGCGGAGATTACATTGAGCTGAGATCACACCACTGCACTCCAGCCTAGGCAACAGAGCGAGACTCTGTCTCAAAAAAAAGAAAAGAAAATATTGAATACATTATTACATCAAAAATACAACTCTAGAAATAAACCCTTTCCCTTATACATTTAGAGACTATGACAGTATCATACTCAGTATGTTTAAAAGTATAGAAGTTTACAACGCAAACTGCAAAGGCTATTCAAAATAAGGAGGCCAGGCATGGTGGCTCACGCCTGTAATCCCAGCATTTTGGGAGGCCAAGGTGGGTGGATTACCTGAGGTCAGGAGCTCGAGACCAGCCTGGCCAACATGGTGAAACCCCATCTCTACTAAAAATACAAAAAAAGTTGGCTGAGCATGGTGGTGGGCACCTGTAATGCCAGCTACTCGGGAGGCTGAGGCAGAAGAATTATTTGAACCCAGGAGGCGGAGGTTGCAGTGAGCTGAGATCATGCCACGGCACTCCAGCCTGGACAACAAGAGCAAAACTCCATCTCAAAAAAATAATAATAATAAATAAGGATACATTTATAAAATGTTAACATAAAATGGCAGAAAATGAAAGATGCACACTATGAAAAGAATACGCCTTTAGCTATTCAAAAATTAAGATAACCGTGCTAAGACAGTAGGGTAAGAAGTTTTCATCTTGTGAATACTCAATAATGTTACTGCTAGATTGTCTCCAATTTTAAAACAGAAGAGGGACTCATGCAAAGTAGTTCAGTTTGGGTAACTGAGTCTTCTTTTAGAGGCTCTGTTTTCCAATTGTGTTTTTCACTTCTTTGAAACTTCTTTTCTAAGAAAAATAAACTATAAAGCAAAATTGGAAAAAATATATACAAAGGAGGTAGTTAGCCTAAATACATGAAATGCTTAAAGGAAAATAAATTGTATACAAGAAAAAATCCTCACTTGGTCATAAATCATTCCAAAGTAATATTAGTATATATACTATGCTTCAATTAAAATGTAAAAACAAAGTCATTTCAATATATGAGCCTTACCCGGTTTTGTTCATTGTCACTATGATGGGCAAAATCTTCATCTGACTCCTTTGTGGGGAAGAAAAGGCTTTGTTGTTAAATGGGCTTTACTTAGAAGCACAGAAATGATTGCAGGTCTAAGTCTCTGGGGCAGGCTGATTCTATGTCAAGTGGAGAAAAAGCTCTGACACTCAGTCTCTTTGTACTGACTACTGGTCACCTTAAGTATCAAGGTGCAGATAAGCTGGATAGCTGGCAATATTGTGAAGGGTTGTTCCAGTTAACATGTAATTTTTGTGGTTCACTTAAATGCCTCTAACAATTTGTTCACATCACCTGCACTTTCAACTCTTGCCTTTGGATTTAAAGAGTTGCACATTTAACTAACTAAATTACTGAAAGTCAGTTTGTGTTATTTTACATTTTGGACTATACTGTCTCTATTTCCTTGCATTATTCACAATAGCAAAGACTTGGAACCAACCCAAATGTCCAACAATAATAGACTGGATTAAGAAAATGTGGCACATATACACCATGGAATACTATGCAGCCATAAAAAATGATGAGTTCATGTCCTTTGTAGGGACATGGATGAAACTGGAAACCATCATTCTCAGTAAACTATCGCAAGAACAAAAAACCAAACACCGCATATTCTCACTCATAGGTGGGAATTGAACAATGAGATCACATGGACACAGGAAGGGGAATATCACGCTCTGGGGACTGTGGTGGGGTGGGGGGAGGGGGGAGGGATAGCATTGGGAGATATACCTAATGCTAGATGACGAGCTAATGGGTGCAGCGCACCAGCATGGCACATGTATACATATGTAACTAACCTGCACAATGTGCACATGTACCCTAAAACTTAAAGTATAATAAAAAAAATAATAAAAATAACTACTTCATTAGGCCCAAGAAGGGGACATCAATAGTTGCTACGAGCAACTATTGATGAAGTGCCACATAGAAGTGCCACATCGGTGGCTAAAAGCAAGGGATTCCCCTAATGAGCACTGCTTTTGTTATACGAAAGTTACTTAAGAAAAGCTCATTTCCTGCTGTCAGGTTTTTCTTTGGAGGACTGGAAGAAAGGCGGGCAGGGAGAGTGCAGAAAGGGGGACCAACCAGAAGAGAAAAGCACATACACAACACTGTCTCCTTTCGGAAATCCCATACTCGAGGACTCTCCTGCAACATGGCTGTGTCCTTTGCAATAACGAATATCCCATCTAAAGAACAACTACAGATTCAACTGTAGTCAAGGCCCACAAACTCAAACTCTAGACAAGGAAATGAAATTATGCTCTGTGGATATGAAAGCGCTAGCGGCAGCAGCAAAATAGAATGTAAGTGGTGGCTTTCGGTATATCCTGCTCTAGGTTTTATAGTTTACAAAAGTTCTAAATGTAGATTTTTTCCCTTAGAATTATTCAAAGACAGAATATACTCAAAGACTATATCCCAGGCAGAGATTCCACCAAAACATCTAAGCTGCCCTTCTCAAAAATATATTGGGTGAAAGAGATATTTGGTGGCAAGGTGGGAGAGAGGATAATAGTGGAAGAGATGAAAGCAGCTTTCCCTATTATTGTACATAAGGCAAAAAGGAAATCTAACCCTTGGGAAAAAAAACTCAGAATGTGGCTTCTATCACTGTTAAAAGCTTTATGGAAGCAGATTACGAATTCACAGTTATGCTATTTACTTAGCCTGCTAGGCCCATCTTAAATTAAGCTTGCTGCCCACCGTGACCTGGTCATACCAAACAGCCCTTACCTCCTCTTCTTTCTCTTCCTCAGTGTCCACAATACTGCCACGATCACTGCCTACAGAGCCTTCTGTTGAGAAGAGAGATAAGGGTCACCACACCAATATTCACAAGAAAATGTCCTTAGCTCAAAATCACAAACCACCATACAACAGCATCACAGAGATCTTGATAAAACCATCTATACCCACTTACTGGAATTGAAAGTGTCATTATGGTGAGGAATTACATATTTATGTAGTCTTGAAGTATCTCTCCCCCCAAAAATTATTCATTACAAATAAAAAAAAAATTGCTTGTACTCTTTAAAGATGTCAGGGTCATAAAAAGCAAAGAAAGGCTGAGAAATGGCATCAGATTAAAAGATAACTGAAGATTTGACAACCAAATGTGGTGGCTGGTCCTGGATTGAGTCCCGGACCACAGAACAAAAGAGAGAGACTGTAAAGGGTGTCACTGGGACAAACGGCAAAATGTGAACATAGCAGCAGATTGGATAATACCCTTATGTCCAGGAAAATATCCTGGCTTTGTAATTCTACTGTGATTATACAAGAGATGTCCTTGTTCTTAGAAAACACACACAGAGGATCACCTGAGGTCAGGCGTTCGAGACCAACCTGCCCAACATGGTAAAACCCCATCTCTACTAAAAATACAAAAATTAGCCAGGTGTGGTGGTGGGCACCTGTAATCCCAGCTACTCAGGAGGCTGAGGTAGGAGAATTGCTTGAACCCAGGAGGTGGAGGTTGCAGTGAGCCAAGATCGCGCCATTGCATTCCAGCCTGGGTGACCAGAGAGAAACTCCGGCTCAAAAAGAAAGAAAGAAAGAAAAACAGCCGGGCACGGTGGCTCATGCTTGTAATCCCAGCACTTTGGGAGGCCGAGGCGGGCAGATCATGAGGTCAGGAATTCGAGACCAGCCTGGACAATATGGTGAAACCCCGTCTCTACTAAAAATACAAAAATTGGCCAGGTGTGGTGGTGCACGCCTGTGGTCCCAGCTACTCAGGAGGCTGAGGCAGAAAAATCGCTTAAATCCGGGAGGCGGAGGTTGCAGTGAGCTGAGATCGCACCACTGCACTCCAGCCTGGGCCACAGAGCGAGACTCTGTCTCAAAAAAAGAAAAAGACAAAGAAAAGAAAAAAAGAAAACACACAGAGAAACATTTAGAAGTAACAGGGCATGAGCATGATGTCTCCCAAATAGGCTCAAGACAAAATATTACGTATATGTAGAGAACAATCTAACAAATGTGGTGAAATGTTAACTGGTAAACCCAGGTGAAGGGTATATGAGAGTTCTTTGAACTATTCTTGAAACTTTAATGTAAAATTTGAAATTATTTTAAAATAAAAAAGAAATGTTAAGGAACAAAATTATTTGGTGAAGAAAAGTACCTTCACTGGACAGCTCTCCAAGACCTACATCTTCTTGTTCCATGAACAGCTTTGACCCAATGAGATATGGTAAAGGACGATCAATGTATAGATCCTGTACATCATGAAAGGAATAGGCTGTCAAACATTTCAGTTGAAAACAAACTTACATGTGCCACCTGATACCCTGTTCCATCTGACTATCCCAAACAAGCTACATAACGAAAGTGGAGAATAAGAAACACAGCAGGACTAAAAGTTAAAAAAAAAATTCTTTTTTTCACTGATTTTTTTAAAAGTCAAATCCTAGGTAAAGATGTCAAGGTAAGGCCGGGCACCATGGCTCACGCCTGTAATCCTAGCACTTTGGGAAGCCAAGGCGGGTGGATCACTTGAGGTCAGGAGTTTGAGACCAGCCTGACCAACGTGGTGAAACCCCGTCTCTACTAAAAATCCAAAAAAATTAGCGGGACATGGTGGCGGGTAACTGTCATCCTAGCTACTCGGGCGGCTGAGGCAGGAGAATCACTTGAACCCAGGAAACAGTGTTGCAGTGAGCTGAGATTGCACTACTGCACTCCAGCCTGGGCAATAAGAGCAAAACTCCATCTCAAAAAAAAAAAAAAAAAAAAGATACCAAAGTAAAGCTGTATCACACAGAATCTCCCTCCCCAAGGGCCTAATTAACAAAATTTAACAAAAATGGCAAAAGCCTACCAAAAGTCTATCAGCAGCAAGCAAACAGGGAAAAGGGTACAACCTCCTAGTATAAGGTCCAAGAAGAGGAGGACCAAGGAAAGAAACTGAACATTCTGGTGAGCTGTCCCCTAAAAAGCAGTACTAATGAGACATAATGTAACTATATATTTTAATATAAAAATAGATTAGGCCGGGCACAGTGGCTCATGCCTGTAATCCCAGCACTTTCGGAGGCTGAGGCAGATGGATCACTTGAGGTCAGGAGTTTGAGACCAGCCTGGCCAACGTGGTGAAACCCAATATCTACCGAAAATACTAAAAATTAGCTGGGTGTGGTGGCGCACACCTATAATCCCATTTACTCAGGAGACTAAGACAGGAGAATCTCTTGAACCCAGGAGGTGGAGGTTGCAGTGAGCCAACATCACATCACTCCACTCCAGCCTGGGCAACAAGAGCGAAACTCTGACTCAAAATAAATAAATAAATAAATAAAAAAGATTATAACTCAATAAACAGAAGAACAATACCCCCTAGTGGTTCCACACTGTTGAATTTAGAAAATTGAAGTTGGTAAAATAAGACCAGATGAGAAAACAGAGTGAGGGCAGGAGACTGTGGCCCCAACAGCACATGCTGGAGATCTGCCCATGTCAGCCGTCTACTCCTGTCAGTCCCACACCACACACACATTAAAAATTTAGGGTTGGTCGGTTGCAGTAGCTCCCACCTGTAATCCCAGCACTTTTGGGAGGCCGAGGCGGGCGGATCACTTGAGGTCAGGAGTTCAAGACCAGCCTGGTCACCATGGTGAAACCCCGTCTCTACTAAAAAATACAAAAATTAGCCAGGTGTCATGTTACATGCCTGTAATCCCAGCTACTTGGAAGGCTGAGGCAGGAGAATCACTTGAACCCAGGAGACAGAAGCTGCAGTGAGCCGAGATTGCGCCACTCCAGCTTGGGCAACAAGAGTGAAACTCTGTCTCAAAAAAAAAAAAAAAATAGGGTCAAGAAAGTGCTCCACCCTTGCACAGCCTCCTACCTCCACTGCTGAAGGAAATGCTGCCCTGTCCCCTGTGAGGCATTGCCCTTTGGCAATGATATCTCTTCCTTGTCAAAGGACTCTGGGGCAGGGGAGAATAATTCTGACATTTCACACAACAACAGAAAGATTGGGAAGGTTAAAGTAAAGGTTCAACGACGTCACAGCAACCAATGGAGCATAAGGCAAAGACAGCGTTAATTTGGACTAATTCTCACTGACTCAGAAGACAACCCCAAATCCTCCTACAAAAGAAAAGTGTACCTCCACAACTTTCTCTGCAAGGGGAAAAAAAAAAGAGAGAAAGTGCTGTGTGTCTTGGAAGTATCAAGTGTGGTCCAGGCAATCCATTTCCCAGAGTCCACTGCTGACTTTTAAAGGCATACAGTGAAAATCCAAGCAGCAAGTGTACCGGTCAGTGCCAAATGATCTGCCTCAATTTGGTGTGACTCAGCAAAGCTCAAACTGGAAGAGAAATGTGCAGCTACAGAATGACTAGAAGAGTGGTTCAGGCTGGGTGCGGTGGCTCATGTCTGTAATCCCAGCACTTTGGGAGGCCAAGGCAGGCGGATCACCTGAGGTCGGGAGTTCGAGACCAGCCTGGCCAACATGGTGAAACCCTGTCTATACTAAAAATACAAAAATTAGCTGGGTGTGGTGGTGGGCGCCTGTAATCCCAGCTACTCGGGAGGCTGGGGCAGGAGAATCGCTTGAACCCAGGAGGCAGAGGTTGCAGTGAGCCAACATCGTGCCATGCACTCCAGCCTGGAGGACAGAGTGAAACTCCGTCTCAAAAAAAAAAAAGGGTTTGGTTCTGTGGCATGTTTTAATTCGGAAGGCCTTGTGTGTCACAAGGCCTCTTTCTATAAATCACTGTGGTAACTTTCTGTGTTCACTACCGAGAGACTCTGTGTCACCCCAATTGTCTCTTTGAACAATGTGGGAGAAAGTGTGTCAAGCAACCAACACTCACTAGGCTATGAGGGAGCCTGGACGTGAATGCTCACAGCAGCTTCATTTGTATTTAATAATTGCCCAAACCGGAAACAACCCAAATGCCTTTCAGTTCTTCTGCAGTCTTCCTTAGCCCAAGCTACATAATTTCAGGTTCCCAACACTCTCTGTCTCTTTTGAGCCTCCCCACCCTTCAAACCCCAATTCAAATATCATCTTTGCCCCAAAATTCCAGCTGGAAGTCAATTCTCTCTCAGGGCATTTACAACGGTTATTCGTATGTATGTCTCCTCTCTCCCACCAGACTGCAACACACACCTCGAGAGTAGAGGCCATGCTCTGCATCTTTGCACCCCAACTTGACATGTTGCCTTGCGCCTCACAAGTACTCCATCAGTGCTCAGGTAAAGCGAGTCTTTCTGGTGGAGTCAATGTGAGACTACTAAGTGACATACTCACTTCCCAGAGGTTAAGTCCATGACTTACTAATCGTGTGCCCAATTAAAGTAGCCCAAACATAATAGTTGTGCAATAAATATTTAAGTTGAATGTCTTCACCTTTGGTTCAAGGATCAGTTCCACCCGCCCATTAGCATCATCTTCCTCGGAGTCTGAGTTTCCTGCTTTGATATCAAGTTGCTCAAAGGCACTGTCCAATACTTGTAAGCCATAGTTCACAGCCTCCTGGACTTTAGGAATGAGATCTACTTCTTTCTGCTCTCGTGTCTTCTCCTACAAAATAAATACCATGCAGTATGGGTCTCCAATATACTGATACTGCCCCAAAAGAATACTGTGAATGTTCTCTAAAGCCTAGCCTCAAGCTCCAAAAAAACTTATTAAAAATGTTAAAAAAGTCAAATTCTGCTGAATGCCTTGACACAGACTTTGGAGTAAGACTGCAAGTTTTAAATCCCAAGTTTGCCCCTTTCTGGACATGCATCAAACTACCTAAGGTTCCAGAGCTCAAGGGTCATCGTCTACAAAAGCAGAGGTACAACTAGTGTGTGGAGAAGTATCCCAACAATGAATACATGCTGTTTCCCCACTGCTGGAGGGCCTAGACTCTCAGACTCACCATGACTATCCCACGAGCCCTGGTTATCCCTTGGGTAATTTTAGGTGTTAAGACTTAGAAGGAAGGTCACAGAGGTCTCATTTTTCAATTACAGTTTAAAGAGACAAAAAAAAAATACTGGACAATTACAATTATTTTATAAATCTGTTCTACATCAAAAGGGGGTCATTTTCATCTCCGGTCTATTCTGTGTATACCCTACAACAATGCCCCACTCAAGAAAAAAGGTTTGTTCATATCACCAACAGGCTGAGAATCTCCCTCAGGTGTCTTCTTCCTGCAACAGCAGTTCTCAATGGCAGTCCCCGCAGACACAAGTGTGCCATTGTGAGAAATACCGAAAAATATTTAGTGTCATTTCCCCCTCTACAAATATTCTAGAAGGAACCAAACCACACAGTGTTGTTCTGAGGGCCAAAGGCAAAAAAAAAACCCTACGAGCATTTTAGTCTTTTATCTCAAGTACTGAAGTCTTTCTAACTGAACTTTTTTGTCTTGGTTGTGTATTTTTCTATTTGGATATGCTTGATTCTGAGTTAAATAGCTAATATTGTACTGAGTTTGTGAAAATGTGTATGAAATATATAGCAGTTTTTAAAAATAGTACACTAAATACCTATCACCTTCAAATTAAACCCTGAATTGGTATAACCAGATACTACTGCACTTAAATGGCTAGCAAATCCTTGAGTTCTATTAAAAATAAAATAACCTGCTGGGCACAGTAGCTCACGCCTGTAATCCTAGCACTTTGGTAGGCCAAGGCTGGCGGATCATTTGAGGTCAGGAGTTTGAGACGAGCCTGGCCAACATGGCAAAACCCCGTCTCTACAATAAATACAAAAAAATTAGCCAGGCGTGGTGGCACACGCCTGTAGTCCCAGCTACTCGGGAAGCTGAGCCAGGAGAATCACTTGCACCCAGGAAGCAGAGGTTGCAGTGAGCTGATATCGTGCCACTGCACTCCAGCCTGGGCAACAGAGTGAGACTCCATCTCAAAATAAAAAATTTTTTTAAATAAAAAATAAAATAAAATAACTTTTTTTAAAAAATGCTGGCAACAGGCAGAACTATAGCTGGTTTCGAATACCCTTTTCCTAGTCTAACAGCTTCATCTGTTACAAGTAATAATTGCTGACAAAGGGCCAACCTTTACAGGTGATCCATATTTTCTGAATAAATGAGAACAAAATCAAAGCTACTCCAATAATAAACTTATTCACAGTCCATGTGCCTTCCTGAGTGGAAGAAAAAGAAATCTCTGCTGGAGTGCTAAGAAGTCAGTGTGACCCAGAACCTCTTAGCTATGTTTTGGGCTCTGGTGTGAGAAGATCTCAGGAAGAAGGCTGGTCCATCTGTAACTCAGGAAGCCACAGGAAAAAAATGACCTCTGTGACCCTCCAAATCTGTAATATGTACTATCTGGCCCTTTACAAAAGAAGTTTGCTGACTTCTACTCTATTCTTATATCAGAATTCAAGGATTTGATCTCTGTATTAGTTAATACACTACATTTCAGAAACAAAGGAAAGAATCCCCTCTTGGGCTGCTGTCAGGAGCAGTCCCTCCCTTTCCCAACCCCGCCCACCATCCCCCAGTTCCCACATAACACATCGATCTCCACCACATTTTTCAAAGTCAGAAACTCAGCTAAGAGTGATTTTATACAAGTACCTGCTCTGTTTTTTCTGCCTCAGCCTTGAGTACTGGCTCCTCCACTTCTTCATCATATACACGCTAAATATGGAAGCAAACTCAATGTTAAAAGGTCAACACGTCATTGGAAATAAATCACAATATAAGAATTCACACAGTAACTAAGGACAAAGATGGGGAAGGAAATGGTTATTCAGCAAAGGGCTGAGACCACTACCAGGTGGGTGTCCGTAACAGTGGGTCATGGACAAACAGCAAAGAATAGTCCATTCACCAAAAAAAAAAAGAAAATTTTTAAATACAAATGACTAGGAAACATGATGAAACTTTAACCTCGTTGTAAACCAAGAGTTGCAAAAACAGTAAGATATCAGTTTTCACACCTTTTCATTTAACCTAATAATGTTGATGGGCAATGATACAGTATTCTGACCCCAGGTTATGGAGAATGTCAACTGATGTAATTTATCAACTAGGAAACTAGAACTTCAGGATTTTGAACAAGGAAAATGGTAAAGGCAAAACTTATTTTCATTCAGTTGCTTAAAATGGCTGATAAATTTTTATTATCCCATTTGTATGAAAGCAGAGAGAAAAATCTACCACTGACTTGCCAGAAAGCCTGGGCATTTGACTAACCCTGACAGCATGGGTAGGCAAGACTCTCTTTTCCAGAAAAGACCCACTGCTCTGCCAAATCACTGTGATTCTTGGTTTTTAAAATCATTTTTATGTTTTAAAAACTACCGAAGTACAACATGCTTGTTATAAAAAGTCAATATAGGCCAGGTGCGGTGGCTCACGCCTGTAAGGCCAGCACTCTCTGAGACCGAGGCAAGGGGATCACTTGAGCTCAGGAGTTCAAGATCAGCCTGGGCAACATAGTGAGACCTCATCTCTACAAAAAATACAAAAATTAGCCAGGTATGGTGGTGTGCACCTGTAATTCCAGCTACTTGTGGGGCTTAGTCAGGAGGAACTCTTGAGCTTGGGAGGTAAAGGCTGCAGTGAGCCCTGATTGCACCACTGCACTGCAGCTTGGGTGAAAAAGTGAGACCCTATCTCAAAAATAAAATGAAATGAAATTAAAATTTTTTAAAAAGAAAGAAATAAGAAGTCAATATAAATGAACTGATGAAAATCTTCTGGCATTAGACAGTGGCCGTGATTATAAAACTTTGAGTACAGTAAAAACCACCAAATTGTATACTTTTTAAAGGACTGAATTTTATGGTATGTGAATTCTATCTCAATTTTTAAAATTTTAAGTCAATATAAAGGCACATGTAAAAGAGATGTATTTTAAAATAGTTCCCTCCCTATCCCCAACCTGATCCTTGGAATACCCAATTTAAGCCTGGTGTGTATGCTCATTTCCTGAGGCTCTGAACATAAATATAAGCTAACAAGTGCATATATTTAGAGCTCTCCTACCCTTCCTGCTTATTTATTTATTTATTTAGAGACAGAGTCTAGCTCTGTCACCCAGGCTGGAGTGCAGTGGCAGGATCTTGGCTCACTGCAACCTCCACCTCCCAGGCTCAAATGATTCTCTTGTCTCAGCCTCCCGAGTAGTTGGGATTACAGGCGGGCACCACCACACCCGGCTAATTTGTTTTTGCCCTTTTTTTTTTTTTTTGAGATGGAGTCTCACTCTGTTGCCAAGGCTGGAGTGCAGTGGTGCGATCTCGGCTCACTGCAAGCTCTGCCTCCTGGGTTCACGCCATTCTCCTGCCTCAGCCTCCCGAGTAGCTGGGACTACAGGTGCCTGCCACCCATGCCCAGCTAATTTTTTTTGTATTTTTAGTAGAGATGGGGTTTCACCATGTTAACCAGGATGGTCTCAATCTGACCTCGTGATTCGCCCACCTCAGCCTCCCAAAGTGCTGGGATTACAGGTGTGAGCCACCATGCCCGGCCTGCATTTTTTTTTTTTTTTAGTAGAGATGGGGTTTCACCATGTTGGCCAGGCTGGTCTCAAACTCCTTGACCTCAAGTGATCCATCGGCCTTGGCCTCCCAAAGTGCTGGGATTACAGGTGTGAGCCATTGTGCCCGGCTGAAACTGATTATTTATTTATTATTTATTTATATACCTAGAGAGGGATTTTACCTAGAGAGGGAATAAATAAATCTTAATAGTCATTCCCAGATTCTATGCACAAATGTGTAGAATTCCCTGTCACTAGCAGCATACTCAAGTGCCCCTTACCCAAACCTTTGCCAGCAATGGCTCCTGTCCACCCATCTTTAAGTATCTGCCAATCTGATCAAACAATGTTGTTTTTAAACGATCATATCCTCTGACCCAAAATTCTACTTCTTGAAATTTAGCTCCCATGAAAATTATCATAAATGCAAACATCAGAATGTTCATGGTATCATGATTTCCAGCAGAAAGTCACAAATACCAAATTTATAATTCTATGCAATTCCAATCAAACGCTAATAAAATATTCTGTGGCACAATATAGTAAGATAATCGTGCTGGGGGCAGTGGCTCACGACTGTAATCCCAGCACTTTAGGAGGCTCACGCCTGTAATCCCAGCACTTTGGGAGGCTCATGCCTGTAATCCCAGCACTTTGGGATCACCTGCGGTCAGGAGTTTGAGACCAGCCTGGCCAACATGGTGAAACCATGGCAAAACCCCATCTTTACTAAAAATATAAAAATTAGCTTGATGTGGTGGCCGGTGCCTGTAATCCCAGCTACTCAGGAGGCTGAGGCAGGAGAATCGCTTAAACTTGGGAGGCAGAGGTTGCAGTGAGCCGAGATTGCACAATTGCACTCCAGTCTGAGCAACAAGACTGAAACTCTATTTCAAAAAAATAAATAAATAAGTAAAAGATAATCCTCAAATTCACACAGAAAAGTAAAAAGCCAAAGATTGATAACCATGACAATTCTGAATAAAAAGAGATTATGGGGACTTGCCCTAATAAGACATTAGAAATCTGCAGTATTTAAGATTATGATACTGGCAAACAGCAGAGAAACAAAACAAACAGCAGAGGGCAGAAACAGACCCACAATTCCATGGAGGCCTGATTTTATTTTCACATAAACACACACAAACGTTCATACATAATAGTCAATGAAGAAAAGAACAACTACACAATAAAGGTTATCTATAAGGGATAAAAATGAAATCCCTCTCTAGGTAAAAAGAATAAAAAGTTGGCCAGGCATGGTGGCGAACACCTGTGGTCCTAGCCAGCTATTCAGGAGGCTGAGATGGGAGGATGGCTTGAGCCCAGGAGTTTGAGGCTGCAGTGAGCTGTCTCCACCACTGAACTCCAGCCTGGGCAACAGAGGGAGATCCTGTCTCAAAAACAAAAAAAGAATAAAAAGGCAGAGATACCAAGGAATCCCCACCCAAAATGATTAGAGTTAAGGACGAATATGGTGGGTAGGCACCTTTGAAGCAAATGTGGCAAGATACAAAACCACTGATGCTAGGTGCTACATTTTCTTAGCACTTGTGGTTTCTCTCTGAACTTTTCTATTTATTTATGAAACATTTATGAAATTTATGAAACATTTCATAAATAACATTTAATATTAGAAGATTATTAAATAAATTATGATACGGTTTAAGAACAAAAAAATTATATTCACAAAAGTCTCAAAGATGGGTTAAATAAGTTCACATTAAGAAAAAAAGTAGGCTGCAAATGTAAATACACACACACACACACATACCGTCATCTAGAAAAGGTTAAAGTTAAAAAACAAGAACAGAAAAAAATACACTGAAAAGTTCAATGGTTGGTTAATTTGGGGTAGCTGATTTTTTGTAGGTTCAATTATTTATTTATTTATTTATTATTATTTTTTTGAGACGGAGTCTTGCTCTGTCACCCTGGCTGAAGTGCAGTGGCAGGATCTCGGCTCACTGCAAGCTCTGCCTCCCGGGTTCACGCCCTTCTCCTGCCTCAAGCTCCCGAGTAGCTGGGACTACAGGCGCCTGCCACCACGCCTGGCTAATTTTTTTGTATTTTTTAGTAAAGACGGAGCTTCACCGTGTTAGTCAGGATGGTCTCAATCTCCTGACCTCGTGATCCGCCCACCTCGGCCTCCCAAAGTGCTACAGGCGTGAGCCACCGCACCCGGCCTACTGTAGGTTCAATTCTTTTAAGCCTGATGTCTGCATGGGAAATGGACTTAGAATATATGTGCTAAACCTTGAGAGGCTCCCCTCAAGCTGAGGAAATTTCACATGATTTTTCTTTTTCTTACTTTTCCTAATTGCTCTATAAAGATCAGGGATTACTTTGGTAATTTTCAAAGTCAGGACTCCAAAAAGTTAAGTAAATCTCAAAAGTGAGACTTTAAGACCTGGCAGCTACCATGGTTACCTATCAGCAGCCTGCAGCTGGAAAGCCAAACATGACATCTAAGAAACCTAAACCCATGGGACCTAAAGCCCATGGGATCTTTTCAGGGTGAGCAGGACTATGCATCCTCAACTACTTCATATCCAGCAGATAACCAATGCTAACTTCTTTCATCCTCACCTGCTAAACTCACAGCTTCATGTGTTTTGTGATCAATTTACAGTCAGATAGCTATACCCAGGACTGTTAAATATCTTTGGTATTGCTCCTCATCTGGGGAGACAGGGTAAAAGGGGAAAGAGGGGAACTGGGGAAAAAGGGACCAGGGCTGGAGAGTAACAGACTATACACAGCCCTGGTCCCCTTTCATTTATGCGTACTCTCATTCATTCAAATATTCACTGGATCCCTAAATATCAGGCTTGTGCTGGACCCCTCAAATATAGTTGTTGTTAAAAATATGGGGCTTGATTTAGCGGGAGGGTCCAACTCATCAAATCCCATCAATAATTGTAAAATTACAATTGTAAGAAGTCTACTAAAGAATGTGATGCTTCAGCTGCTTTTATCCAGGGGGTGTGCCTAGTGCAGAGGGTCCAGGAGGAAGTAATATAATTGAGCAGAGACCTAGAAGACAGACAGATGTCAATCAAAGGGTAGAGGCATAGGAAGCAATGTAAGCAAAGGCCCCGTAGCAGCAGGGCATATGGCATCTCCAAGGAATGAGAAGGCTGGAGTGTCAAAAGCAAGGGGCATTATGTAAAATAAAGCAGGTCTAGGGGGAGAGGGAAAAACCTGTGCAGGAAATTATATGTTAATAACGCTTTTGGGCTTTACCTCCTTCTCTCTAATTGCTGAGTACTTGACAGTTTCAGCAACTCCATCTGTTTCTTCAATAGAAAAGTAGAAAAGGAGGGAAAAATGACCAAAATTCAGCTTTTATAAATCAACAGGAAGATGATCTGGAAAATTAACCAATTTATGCCTAGTGTCCCATTATTGGAACACTAAGCTTGTCAGAGTTATGTATATCCTACTGCTCAAGGTCATTGCCAAGATCTGGCTTTTCACAAAAAAAATTCTAACCTTGGGCATAAACAGGTTAATTTGTTTCATTCTGGAATTTTTTTTTTAATTTTACAAAGCTAAGATTTGGAAACAATTGACTTTAAAAAGAAAAAATCCTCCCTCACCAGTTCATTTAACAAACTAAAGTCATTAACTATGGCACTTGCTATTTCAGGATCCAATTCCTAAATTAACAGATAATTAAGGCTTTAGAATTGTGTTGCCTTCTAATTAGACACTAGAACACTGGCCAATGTTAATTAGTATTTCTTCTCCCTCCAAGTCCCCTCTTGAGCCTTTACTAATGGTATTAATTTCTCTTGCCCTAAAAAGTCCTGACTGTTCTCGCCCTAGAAAGTCTGGATTGTTTCACTAACTTTATAATATAGTTTGCAACTTTGTGGCTGCCCCTGAGGCTAATTAATAAGACCCAGAAACCTATCTGACTTTGAATGTTTCTGATAAATTACCATGAAACCAAATGGCACCATAATTCAAGCTGGAATTGTAACACCTAAGTACTGATGTCAGGGATTGAAAATAAAACATTAAAAAGCCAGATTGCCGGGTATGGTGGCTCACACCTGTAATCCCAGCACTTGGGAGGCCAAGGCGGGTGGATCATGAGGTCAGGAGATCGAGACCATCCTGGCTAACACGGTGAAACCCCATCTCTACTAAAAATGCAAAAAAAATTAGCCAGGTGTGGTGGCGGGTGCCTGTCATCCCAGCTACTCAGGAGGCTGAGTCAGGAGAATGGCGTGAACCCGGGAGGTAGAGCTTGCAGTGGGCTGAGATTGCACCACTGCACTCCAGTCTGGGCGACAGAGTGAGACTCCGTCTCAAAAAAAAAAAAAAAAAAAAAAAGCCAGATCACTTACAAATATATATCAGCAACTATATTTTTTCAGAGTTTTATTAAGCATTAGCTGTTTTCTCAGTATTATCATGCTTTGCCACAAATTAAAAAAACCTATAGCATGTGGCCTTATAGAAGGTCTGGGAAGTAATTAAGATTTGGCAGCGGCAACCAGCACATCCGGAGAAGAGTTCTGGCTGCAGACTGGAAGGCGAAGGGGCATCAAGACTTAACACTAAGGGCCGAGCGCAGTGGCTCGCGCCTGTAATCCTAGCACTTTGGGAGGCTGAAGTAGGATAACTGCTTGAACCCGGGAGGCGGAGGTTGCAATGGGCAGATCGCTTGAGGTCAGAAGTTCAAAAGCAGACTCACCAACATGGTGAAACCCCATCTCTACTAAAAATAGAAAAAAAATTAGCCAGGCCTGGTGGCGGGAGCCTGTAATCCCAACTACATGGGAGGTGTGGGCAGGAGAATTGCTTGAACACGGGAGGCGGATGTTGCAGTGAGCCGAGATGGTGTCACTGCACTCCAGCCTGGATGACAGAGCAAGACTCTGTCTCGGAAGAAAAAAAAAAAAAAGCTAAGGCTAAAGGGATGGAGAGATGGATGGAAAACAGGAAATCCCCAGTATTGGACAGAAATAAAGAACAATTACCAAAACACAATAAAACAAAACCAAAAAAACTCCACAAAAACTACAACATGGAAAACTCAGAATCTACGAAAACTTGGCTAGAAAAGAGCTGGAGAAAAGATAAGACCTAAGACTGTGATTGAGAAAAATTGTATGATGTTCCCCATTTCTTCCCACTGAAGTATTGATCTGGTACCAATCTAGTACCAATCTGGTACAAGCACACTGGGTACAAAGTAAACTTCCCTTGCCGGGCGCCGTGGCTCAGGCCTGTAATCCCAGCACTTTGGGAGGCCGAGGTGGGCGGATCACGAGGTCAGGAGATCGAGATCATCCTGGCTAACTCGGTGAAACCCCGTCTCTTCTAAAAATACAAAAAATTAGCCAGGCGTGGTGGCACGCGCCTGTAGTCCCAGCTACTTGGAAGGCTGAGGCAGGAGAATGGCGTGAACCCGGGAGGCGGAGCTTGCAGTGAGCGGAGATCGCACCACTGCACTCCAGCCTGGGTGACAGAGTGAGACTCCATCTCAAAAAAAAAAAGAAACTTCCCAAATCCTTTGGGACTCTGGTGCTGCAGCACTGACTGCAGAGAAGTGCTGACTACCTGATCCAGCAAGAAAAGTACAGAATGAAAAGAACAGGAGTGCTTAAAAGGACACCAAATTAATCTTGATGAAAACATTATGGGGCTGTGCACACCAGAGAAGTTGAGTCTAGAGTCCCTGACTTTTCCAGTGAGATAGTCAGGACCAAGCATGGACATTCTGTGTAAACAATCAGAAAACTACTGATTTTACTTGAATACTTTTTTTTTTTTTTTGAGACGGAGTTTCGCTCTTATTGCCCAGGCTGGAGTACAATGGCAGGATCTCGGCTCACCGCAACCTCCGCCTCCCAGGTTCAAGCGATTCTCCTGCCTCAGCCTTCCCAAGTAGCTGGGATTACAGGCATGCGCCACCATGCCCGGCTAATTTTGTATTTTTTTAGTAGAGACGGGGTTTCTCCATGTTGGTCAGGCTGGTCTCGAACTCCCAACCTCAGGTGATCCACCCGTCTTGGCCTCCCAAAGTGCTGGGATTACAGGCATGAGCCACCACGCCTGGCCGAATACTTGTTATTTTTCAAACTCATAAGTACTCCTTTGCTGTTAAAGGAAATAACTGGCAAAGAGATCTCTAACACCTTTATTAATGTCTTTATTTTATATATAGCTCTCCAAAAAAAGACAGGAAGTGGCATTTAACTCCAGCTATTAAAAAATGCACAAACATGCTGCACAAGTTGACTACATGGCATTCTCTTAACTATTCTAAATCTTGGGCTTTTTAAATAATTTTGTGATTCTGAAAATTTTATTACTTTATATCTAACAATCTCAGGAGATCGCTTACTTTAATAATCCTTTTTCCACAAATGAATGCTGATATTCAGAAAGTTGGGACACCCTATGAGAAACACAGGTCTGTTACCTAAGCTTCCTCTCCATCCTCATCTCTTAAGTCTCCACTCTGCTCCAGCCATACTTACTTCCTTTGTATGCTGGAATTATACTATTTGCCAAGGGAGAGGCTCTATCTAATTTACCTATGTATTCCTACCACCTAGAAGAAACAGTAAATAGACAAAAATCACACATAGATTTAAGCTCAGTAATCTGTTTACAGTTGATTCCATATTGTAAGTTCAGCCATCATAAACTTTAGTTGAGAGTATTGCAAGCAGACATATATATCCCCTGAATATAATTTATCAGAACAGAATGACCCCAATCAACAAGTGAAACCATATGCTGGTGTCCAGAGGGTCTAACCAGGTAAACAGCTGTCCTTACAGATCACGCCACAACAAAGGCAGTGTGAGTGCCACAAAATTCAGCACAATTGCTGACTACTCTCAAAACGACAAAAGATGGAAGCACCGAAGTATAAGAAAATGTTATCATTAGACTTTTTTAGAGGCTTGGAAAAAAGGACTTAAAACTTTACAAATAAAAAAGAGGTATTAATCCCAGAGAAAAAAGCTACAATTACCAAGAACCACACTTCCACCAAAATTTAGGAGGGAACCTAACAGTAAGTTATTTAAAATTACAATATCTCCTACTCCCAAAAAAGGAATGATAATATAACTAAATAACTCACATTCTCAATGAACTGGGTATTAGAGAGCATAAGGAAGTCATTGAAGACATTATGCAGGCGACAATCTGTGGCTTTGGTTTCCCGAATTAGTCCGTCCACTTGTTTCTTGATTTCATGGGTCCTAGAGATAGTTTGCTGTGAGAATTCCTGTAGAAACTGTAGTAGCTATTTTAAAAAATAAACATACAGTAGTATCAATGTTACATGTAACTATTCTGCATGTCACATCAAAAAAGAACCCATTTCCTTTCACCTTTGAGTGTTAGAATGTGAAAGAAATGCTTTTTTTTTTTTTGAGAGAGTTTCACTCTGTTGCCTGGGCTGGAGTACAATGGCGCCATCTCGGCTCACTGCACCTCCCGCGTTCAAGCGATTCTCCTGCCTCAGCCTCCCGAGTAGCTGGAATTACAGGTGCCCGCCACAACGCCCAACTAATTTTGTGTATTTTTAGTAGAGACGGGGTTTCACCATGTTGGCCAGGCTGGTCTCGAACTCCTGACCTCGTGATTCGCCCACCTCGGCCTCCCAAAGTGCTAGGATTACAGGTGTGAGCCACTGTGCCCGGCTGGAATGCTGGTTTGACAAGTACTAAAACCAAGTGACATTGGAAAACACTAAGAAAGCTCATCAAAAGAGTGGCAGTGAGCTAATGGACACCTATCTCGTTTCTGGAAAAATTTAAAATCCCTTTTTGGCACTGGGTATGGTGGCTCACGCTTGTAATCCAATACTTTGGGAGGCTGAGGCAGGGTTATCGCTAGAGTCCAGGAGTTGCAGACCAGTCTGGGCAACATAGCAAGACCCCCATCTCTACTAAAATTAAATAAATAAACAAATCAGACAGGTGTGGTGGACGCCTATAGTCCCAGCTTCTCAGGACGCTGAGGTGAGAGGATCACCTGAACCCCAGAGGATTCAGTGAGCCAAGATCAAGCCACTTGCACTCCAGCCTGGGCGACAGGGCAAAACCCTGTCTCCTTTTAAAAGTCCTCTTTGGTTGTCAATCTACAGAGATCACAGACCAAGGGTTAGCTAATCAACCACCACTCTTATTCAAAAATCCTATTCATTTGGGACTCCAACAGTTCTGAGCTTTTTGGGCCCCCGATTTGAAAAATCCCATTAAAGGATATCCACATACTGGCTTGTTTCCCACCCCATTTAGTCCAGGTCCCAACAGGAATCGCCTCCCTAGTGCCCGAGCAATCCCTCAGTGTGGCGGAAACGGATCTCCCCTCCGGATGGAGCTGAGCCAGAAACCCCATGAAGGGAACGTCGCGTCTGGGCCACGGTCAGTGTCTGCCCCTCTCCCTGGTGGCCGGGGACTGCCAGGGTGGCATTCTCGGGGGCTAAACGGGGCGTGTGTTCCTAAGAGGGCAGGCAACGGGACGGGCCAGGTGCAGGGGCAGTCGCGGTCCGGCCCTCCTGCGCGCAAGCCAAGCGTCACCCCTGCCGCTCTCGCGTCCCCGGGGCCCGCCTCTCACGCCCGCGTCGGCCGCCAGCGACCAGCTCTGGCTGCTCCTGCGGATCTCCTCCACCGACCACGGCCGCTCCCACACGGGCTCCGACGCTGGCGCCAGCTCCTGGTCGGGGGTCGTCCGGTTCATCTGCAGCGAAAAAAACGAGAAGAGAAGCTGAGCCTGAGGGCGGCAGGGACGGCGGCCCCAGCCCAGGCCGGCCTCTCTCCTGCCCGGCGCCCTCACCATCCTAGCCGCCCGGCTCGGTGGGCTCCGAAGCTGCCAGCACACGCCGAGGACTGCAGAGCCCCGGAAGCCTAGCCCCAGCCAAGCTGCCCGGGGCGTGACCGGCCTCACGTGACCTGATGTCACGTGACAGAACCCGCACGTGATCCGACCTGCCATGCTGAGGGGAGGAAGCTGCGGAAGTGGACTGGGACTGGAGTTTGGGGTTCTACCCTAGGTTGGGGCGGAGGAAGCTGGAGGATAGGGGCTGACGCCAGGAACGCTGCAGAGGCGGGTTGGCCGGGTGGCGCTGCCCCCCAAGGCCCGAGGCAGCGGCGCGGGATCGGCCACAGCACCGGCCGCCAGTTCGGCGGGTCTGGAAAGAGGGGACCTCAAGCAGCCAGTGGAGCAACCAGCCTGGGAGCCTTCGACGTAGGCGCTGTGGGCGAAGGAAAAGGCCTGGCCTGCTGCCTCTTCTCTTGCAGCAAAATCCGCTGCTGTGAAGGAGCTGGTAGGCGGACGCTCTGTAGATAGAGAATCCCTGATCTGCCTGGGCATCATCTTGCTCTTTATGACCTGCTTGGCTGCCACTGTGTAGGGCCTGCTTAAAGTCCTTTGCACTCTCAGCATTGCCCTCAAGTTCAAGGACAAGCTTCTCATTATGGCAGGCATAAAACTCTTTATAATTCGTCCTCCACTCTCCCAGCTCAGGGCTCCAGCTGTTGTCTCACACTTCCTTGAAGTTCCCTCTGCTGAGTCGCCCTTGTGCCTGACCAACTTACTTACTAAAATAAAAATCCCAATTTCTTTCCAGTCATGTGTGCCCAAGGGCGAGTTATTTAACTTTTCTGAGCTTTCCTCAGTAAAACGAAGCTACATATCTTGCAAGGATGTGATATTAAAGTTATGATATTGTAAAACAGGTGCCACGGTGCTTGGCCTAGGGTGAGCCTTCAACCTAGAACATACCACTGTCCCCATGCACCTTGCTCACACACCCAATCCCAGACTTTTCTTTTGTAGTCACCTCAGTTATCACCTCATTAAATAACCTGATTATCCCAAGTACAGCTTAAGTGACTTAAGTTATTTTCGATGGCTAGCGGAAGGGTCTCCACTACATTGGAGAGCTGGGGTGGTCTGGAGTTCCACGGTGTGGTGGGCCAGAGGCCACCTCTCCTGCGGTCTCTTAGTGTCTCGCTGGCGGGGTTCGGCCCGAGCTAGATAGACACAGCCCTTGGCGGATTTAAACAACCTAAACATTAAACAATACAGCTGCCTCAAATCTTTGGGAATTTCGGAATGACTGACACTGCCAAAGCTGTTCCAAATTTTGAAGAGATGTTTGCTAGTAGATTCGCAGAAGATGACAAGGAGTATCAGGAATACTTGAAACGCCCTCCTATGTGCTCGTTTCTAAAATTCTAGAGGTTAATACAATCAGCTCATGAATGCACAGCTATGCTTCTTGTGATAGATTGTACATAACATCAGCAGTTGAAAGGTAAAACAATTGCTTTTTTTTTTTTTTGCTTTTGTTACGTGACTATGGTACTTTGTGATTCCTTACTCTATAATGAGAATGAGTCGCTCCACATTTATTTGGATCTCTTTTTAGAGGGAAATCAGTAATAAAGCTGTAAAATAAGGAAGGAAAAAAGTTGTTTTTTATGTATTTATCCTAAGGTATTACATTGTATTGTAATCATTTAAATATCAGTCTCTCCTTTAATAATAGCTAACATTTATCAAGTGTTCAGTATTTACCATTTTATACATTGTTCATTTAATTCACACAATGACTATGAGGGAGGGAATATTATTTCCAAATTATAGTTGAGGAAACTGAGGTACAGAAAGGAGAAGTAACTTACTTATGATTAGGTAACCAGGAAAGAGGCAGACCCGAGAACACACACTGTGAGCCAATATGTTACAGTAACCTATAACAGTGTTAACACTAAGGCTGGGCTGGCATGGTGGCTCACACCTGTAATCCCAGCACTGTGGGAGGCCAAGGCGGTTCGAGACCAGCCTGGGAAACATGGTGAAACCCCATATCTACAAAAAAAAAAATTAACTGGACATGGCGGCATAGATCTGTAGTTTGAGCTACTCAGGAGAATGAGGTGGAATGATTGCTTGAGCCCCTGAGACCAAGGTTGCAGTCAGCCGAGATTGCACCACTCCACTCCAGCCTGGAAGAAGACTAAGACTGCTGTCTGCAAAAACAGTCTTAGAGTCTTAAGGGGACTTCATTTTTAAGTCACCATCTACCAACCTCTTCCATTTCCCCCACATTGATTAAAACACACACACGTGCGTGCGCGCACGCACACACACACATACACACTTTAGAACTTGGAACTTGGTTGGTAAAATTGAGGCGAGCCAATTACCAAACTTGGATTTTATGTAACACCATCATGGGTAACTTCAGTGGCCACGTACTTAACACCCTTAATCTACGTCCCACACCCTGGAATTTATCACTGAAACATTGTGACTCCAAAATCTGAACTTCTCCTGAATAGAGTAGCCCATTTATTTATTTATTTGTTTGTTTGGAGACAGAGTCTTACTCTGACACCCAGGCTAGAGTGCAGTGGCATGATCTTGGCTCACTGCAACCTCCACCTCCTGGGTTCAAGTGACTCTCGTGCCTCAGCTTCCCAAGTAGCTAGGATTACAGGCGTGTGCCACCATGCCCAGCTAATTTTTGTATTTTTAGTGGAGACAGGGTTTTGCCATATTGGCCAGGCTGGTCTTAAACTCCAGACTTCAGGTGATCCACCTGCCTCGCCCTCCCAAAGTTCTCCAATTACAGGCGTGAGCCACAATGCCTGGCCACAAACTGTTTTTCAAAACAGTACAGTATAGTGAGTAAAAGCACTAGCTTATGCAACAGGTTGGTTTTGTGTGCTGCAGCTAACCCCAAAGTTGTAAGGATTAAATTAGATAATAAAGTGCTTTTAGTAACATGCCTGGCACAGTTCATTGATTCAAACATTGAACAAAATTTTTTTTTAGTTATACATACTACTGTGTACCTTTGGAAAAATTAGAACTTAACAGATGAGGCTAAGTTTGAGCCTTCCAGTACTTTCCTTCTCTGCATACTCTTCAGAGGAAACTAGGATCATGCTCTGGGAGCATGTCTTTCCACGTCTTTTTCTTTGCTTTTATAAATATATCTGTTTCCATAGAAATGCTTGTATGTAGAGGGGGCACGGTATCGTGCTGGATTTGTTATTGGAACTTTTTTGCTTGACCTACCTTGGATGGCTCTCTAATTGTTACAGCTTTTACCTTTTAACTATTACTCAGTATTCTTACTAAGGTAAGACTATACTGATTTTGTTTATATTTCTCTAGTAATAGGCCAGGCGTGGTGGCTCATGCCTATAATCCCAGCACTTTGGGAAGCCAAGGCAGGTTGATCACCTGAGGTAAAGAGTTTGAGACCAGCCTGGCCAACATGGTGAAATCCAATCTCTACCAAATATAAAAATTAGCCAGGCATGATGGCAGGTGCCTGTAATCCCAGCTACTCGGGAGGCTGAGGCAGGAGAATTGCTAGAACCCAGAAGGCGGAGGTTACAGTGAGGCGAGATCACCCCATTGCACTGCAGCCTGGGCAACAAGAACAAAATTCCTCAAAAATAAAAAAAGTAAATAAATAAATAAAAATATTTCTCTAGTAACAGACAATTTTTATATCTTAATATTTTGCTTTTTATATTCTTGTGGTTACATTCTTATTAAAGAATGCATTTTTATTTAGATTTGAAGTAAATCTTGTGTATTATTTGTTCCAGCACATCTTTTGCTTTATAACTTACTGCATCATGATTATGATTATTATTTTAAACAGCTGTTACGATTTTGAAGGAGCAGCCTAAAGGCTAAGTGGCAGTATCTCTTCTTTAGCTTAATAACTAGTAGTTCTAATTTGCTATTTTATACTCTTAGCACATCACACAAGTGAGTGATGAGGAAGAGGATGATGATGGCTGTGACCTTTTTGCTGACTCTGAGAAGGAGGAGAAAGATATTGAGGACATTGAAGAAAATACTAGAACTGTAAGGAAGGCTGTAGTTGCTATCACTTGGCAGGGTTTTAGAACCAATGACTTTTTTTATTTTTTATTGTGACTTACTTTGAACATCTCTCATTTTGGCATATTTGTCATTTCATTTACACTTTGGAAAATAATGGCAAGCATCTCAAATTGCCTCACAAGTACCACTTTCTTGTCCAGATGTTATGATTTTATGAGTCAGATCATTCAGAATATGTCTGGTTCCAGAGTTTGAAGACCGTAGTGCTCCTGTCTCTCTGCCCATGACCTTTTTCTTATTTTCTTATTCAGATTTTTAAGTATTAAAGTCAAGTATTAAAAAAAATAAGGAAATAAAGAGCATCTCCCTTTGAAGGAACATTTTATGAGTCCTATTCCTTGGGTGAGCTGTATAGGGTACATATGTTTAAGTTCATTTAATTAAACTCAGTTTTCTCCTCAGTTCAATTTCTTTGCTCTTGTATACATAATGTTGTTAGATGTCCAAAGTGAAGTGTACTAGTTTGTTACAAAAAAGAGATTCTTTTGATTTCTCCTACTTTAGAAAAGCAGACCTACTTCGTTTGCAGTGAGCTGGCTGCCCGCATCAAGGGGGATGCCGTGGGCGGAGTGGACGAGGAGCCGACAAGTGAGACCCAGCCTCATTGACGGGGAGTAGGGGGGGGTAGTGCAGAGCCCTCTGCTGGCTTCACCAAAGGTGGATTTCCCTTTTTATTAGTAATTACTACAGCAGAAGAGGCTTAAATTGTAGCGCTTATTCCTTTTTTGGTTAATGAGCTCCTTTAGATAACTGAACACTGTGGACTCACAAGAAAAATGTACATGTACACATGTAGATAACACTTTACATATAATTTCAGGAGATTAATGGAAACTCCAGAGAACCATGGGCAACAGCTTAAGAATTCCTGGCTGAATATTTACTCCTATATTTTGAACACATAAGAATGTGCTATATAGCATATTCTAGTTATAACAGGGTAGAAAGATAACATAATAATTCTTTCAACAAATACAATCCTGTTATGCACATGAGCCTGGGATGAAAGCAGAAGCCTTCTACCTTACAAAGAGACTCTTGAGTGCCCACTGTGGGCAGGACAGGGGGTTTAGTGCAGCTGAGATGAAAGGCAGATGTCTTGCTCTTAGCTGTGAGTTATGAGGATGACAGACGTGGAAAGAACCAGGATGTGTATACTGAGGGAGGACTTAGTACTATTAAAACTGTGAACTGTTCTTCAAGCCTTACCCTCAGGAGAAGCAAAACTTCGGAAGACACTCGAGAAGAAGGAAAGGAGAACTCCTTCGGATGGTGGGCCTTTTCCCTGAATTCTGTTATTTTAGGAGCCTTTGACTCGGGAATGTTGCTTATATAATTCATGAAGTACTGCTTTACATGCTGTTTTCCTTCTGACAAATGGGTCTGTCTCCATTTACTTTTCTAAAGCCTCTGGGCTGGGCGCGGTGGCTCACGCCTGTAATCCCAGCACTTTGGGAGGCCGAGGTGGGTGGATCATAAGGTCAGGAGTTTAAGACCAGCCTGGCCAACATAGTGAAACCCCATTTCTACTAAAAATACAAAAAATTAGCTTGGCATGGTGGTGGGTGCCTGTAGTACCAGCTACTTGGGAGGCTGAGGCAGGAGAATCGCTCGAACCCGGGAGGCAGAGGTTGCAGTGAGCCTTGATCGTGCCACTGCATTCCAGCACCGGTGACAGTGCAAGACTCCGTCTCAAAAACAAACAAACAAAAGCCTTGGAAGGCATGTTTTGGGGTGCTGGGAGGATATGTGGGTGTGGAGTAAAAATTCCTGTAGAGATTTGATTTATTAGATTTTACAGCAATCATTTCTTGTCTTTCTAGAATTCTTTAGAAATATAGAAACTTAGGGATCTCTACCATTTGTTTTCAATAAAGGATACACCAGGCCTTTTCCTATTAAACAGCCATGTCCATTACATTCCACGTGTCCCTGTGTCAGTTTGCAGATCCCTTTGTTTATTCTGCCCTTCCTTCCCCCAGATTCGTGGGGGAATGGGTCTTGAATGTGGCATCTGACCCGAATGCTTGCTTCAGAGTAAATCTAGATCCAGGGTGCTGGCCTAGAGAATGAATGCTGTCTGCCGCAGACATGGACAGACTTGAGAGTGGAGGCCCAGAGAGTCTTTTGAGGGTGTCAGTGGACTGTGCCAGGGGGTTAGTGTGAAATTCATCAGACTGCCTCACACTTTGATAAAGAGGGCCAGATAAACTCCATGCCAGTTTGGAGACACAGCAGATGCCAACCCGGGAATTTGAGTTCTGGCCCCATCTTTAATACTCCCTGCAAAACATTGCTTTCTGTTTGCTAGATGAAGAGGATAACTTATTCGCACCCCCCAAGCTGACCGACGAGGACTTCTCGCCATTTGGCTCTGGAGGTGGCCTGTTCAGTGGGGGCAAGGGGCTCTTTGATGATGAGGATGAGGAGGTGAGTCCATGGCACCCAGCAACACTCCCTGCAGCTAGCTGTGTCAGGGGTCCACAGGGAAGAAATAGGCTTTGCTTGTTTAGTGGGGAAAAAACAGTTTCTCAGTTGGAAGTTGCTTCTATTTTCATATTTTGGGACATTTTGAACTAAGAATCACAGAGTGAGAAATGCCGTATCCTTCTATGCTTTGTTAGGTGAGGAGAAGATGTGCACGTGTTAATGTGAATAATTTACTAGGTGATTGTTTCTTGCCTTATCTGTTGTCTTCCACGTTTGTTTTTAATTCCTGGACAGGCCTAAATTATTTTAGGGTCTGATTTTGCCATAGTTATCACTTTGCAACTGATTTTCTGTCAGAGTAGTAAATATGTAGCTTTAAATCTTGTAGGTTATTTTTCCTTAGGAATCCTCAAATGCAGCTGTGCTTTCTCCTGGTTTTTTGAATTCTTTGTCATATACCTTATTTCAACCAGAGTGACCTCTTCACGGAAGCCCCCCAGGATTGGCAAGCTGGAGCCTCTGTTAAGGAGGGTAAGCTGGGGTTGGGCAGCTGTGTCTCTGTGTGCAGAGTTCCAAAACTGTCTTCCTCACTAGGAGATGGAACAAGGTTGTTCCCAAGCCTTGTTTCTGTGTTAAGCAGGAAGCTATTGTTTTTACTGTGGTCCAGTTGAAAGTAATTCATCTTCACTAATTCATGTCTTGGAAAACACAGTACCATCTGTAAACCCATACCACAGTCTTGCCTCTTTCTTAGGAGAGAACTCATAAAAAGTCAAACAAGAAAAGTACCCTAGAGCACTGTTGAGGATGATTTTCATTGAATGAAGTTTAATTTAAAGAAACATTTTTAACATTCTGTATATAAGTTGGAGACCAGTAATTCCCCAACCCAGTGTGCATTAAAATCATCTGTGCAGGTTTTGTTTTTGTTTTTGTTTTTGTATTTTTAGTAGAGACGGTGTTTCACCGTGTTGGACAGTTGGACAGGCTGGTCTTAAACTCCTATCCTCAAGTGATCACCCGCCTAGGCCTGGCAAAATGCTAGGAATACAGGCATGAGCCACCGCACCTGTCCCATTGGTGCAGTTTTTAAAAAACACAAATATAAATATGTTTTTTAACCTACAAATGTTACTCCATAGGTTTGTGGCAGTTCTTGGGACTTGGGAATTAGTGATTCTAAGTGCCGAGTCTCCCGGGCACAGGCATCAGAGCTGGGCCTTGGAGGCCGCTCCTTGTGCGTGCTGTGCGGGCTGCTAGCCTGGCTCTCCTCTGCTTTCTGCTGCCCACGTTTTGGCATCAGTGACTTGCTTGGTTTCCCCCTTTGCTCTTATGTCTTTATTTTTTACTGATGACTCACATGTTTTTGCGGTTCTTTTTCACTCGTTCATTCTCATCCAACTGGAATGGGTAAAGGCGGAATTGTTTGGGGGAGCCCTGGTCATGCTGTCCCTGCCTCTGCTGTGCTCACCTCCTCCCTTGGTGTCCCCCAGCTGACCCACTGCTGTGGCTTGATGACGGTCAGCATGCTCTTCCATTGGAGTCACAGCTCAGATTGTATCAATCCCCAAAAAAGTCCTGACATTGGTAGAGAAGAAAATACCAAAGCATTTTAAAATGGCTTGTTCAGGAAAAAGTAGTTTCAAAATGTCTGGTACTAGCTGTGTGTTACATTGCACATATTTCAGGAATAAAATAGCAAGGAAAGTTATTTCCCTTGTAAAAATGGTTGCCCCTTGCTTTCTCATTCTAGAGTCTTCATCATCCAAACCTGGAAAGAAAATCCCAGCAGGAGCTGTTTCTGTATTTTTAGGTAACATAACTTAGGTTTGTTTTCTAAAAACTACACAAATACTGTTTTTTCCATTTCAAAATTATCATCTTCTAAAGCCTGGCTGGAGATGAGGAAGTACCTGGGAGCTTCAAAGGGCTTTGAGCATCTTATAGAAAGAGCTCATTTACTGATATTAGCTCTTATTCTCCTAGAGCTCAGTGGCCTTGGACTTTTTTGTGTTTGAGTGACCTGGTGATTCTCCGTTGTGAGATGTTCTGTAGCAGTAATGGATGGAGGCTATTGGGCCCTCTTAATGCATTTTGTGGATTAACTGAAATGAAAAGTTTTTGGTGGGTGATAATTTTTTTCTGTAAATTCAACCGGCCCACACTGGCTCACAGCTGTGTCTGTCTTGTCCCTTCACTCACAGGAGACACGGATGTGCTGCCTCCGTTCCATCAATGAAGGAGCCACAGAAGCCTGAGCAGCCCACTCCAAGGAAAAGCCCCTACCTTCCCCCTCCCACTGGCCTCTTTGATGATGATGATGGTGATGATGATGACGACTTTTTCTCGACACCCCACAGCTAGCCTTCCAAAACAGGTATGTGTTCCTGCCTCTGTGTCTAGGACTTCAGCCAGAAAGAGAATGTTGCCTAAATGGAAGATAAGCTCACCTAGTTCTGTATCTCTTATAGTACCAGAATCCCTTCTCCAGCATTCCTGTCATTGAGCTGTTGTGTCTGTACTTACATAGGTGTGGTGCCTGGGAGGTCTGTTTTATGACCCAATCTTTTCTGCTCTGTAAGCTAATTACTATGATTATTTTCCTTATAGAGGGCTCAAGTCTTTATCCCTATAATTTTTGCTTAATTCACAGTTCTGACCTTTGGAATTATAAAGTTTTAATCATCCTTTCTTCCAGCCGACCTTAGTCAATTACATGAGCAGCATTTTGTGTGCTGGCCAGTTATTTCCCGGCTTCTCTTCTCTCTACCAAAAAGCTCAGGTGGCCTTGGTCTTTCTTCACATTATGGGGTTTTCATCCGCTTGGCCACTCCTTTCTTTTTGGCATTCTCCTTTCTTTTTCCTCTTAAATGTAAGTCCTGTGTTCCTGAAGTCATTCCTGTAAATCATTTGTTTTTAAATGTGCAGATGAATCTCCCAGAGGCTTTTGTCAAAATGAAGATTCTGATTCAGTAGGTCCAGGGTGGGGCCTGAGAATTTACATTTCCAGCAAGCTTCATGGTCTGTAGATCACACCTGGAATAGCAAGACTTAGATCCATTGACTGGTCTTCCAGAAAAGAAAGGTAGATCCCTAGATCCCTAAGTTGCACATGATTTTCAGCAACTTGAAAAAATAAAAAAGGATGATATAGGAATAGATGGAATCAGAATTCATTTAGAAGCAGACTGTCTGGACTTACTGTCCTTTTCCAGTGTTAGGTGTAGAAAGCAAGGATGGAAGCCGAAGTGCGAGGGAAAACAATAGCCTAGTTAATCTAGAAAGAGTGCAAACGGATGCAGAATTCGTGCAGGTCTCGGTGAAGATGACAGTGAATGAAGGTAGTAGTGCTTTTTATAGCTCCACAGGGCTCTCACTTAGTGGATATCTTTGAGAACTGATTTAGAATCACTAGTAAATTGATGCTGCTTTCTTTGACAACTCCTAGTCTCTTCGGACATTCATGAGTCAGTGACCTCATTTCAGCAACACATGCCCCATTTGGTACAGCAGTGCTTACTGTGGTGAAAATATTCATCAGTAGAGTAAGCTATGGCCGTTCTATTCAGTGGAATATTGTGCGACTGTTAAAATGAATGGGGTCTATGCTTGTTGACTTGGGAATGTTTTATAGGTACATTAAGTGGAAAATACAAATGGTAAGACACATTGTTCAAATTACCTTCTTATTTATAGCCTTATTTGTAAATAACTAGTGTTAATTCATTAGTACATCCTTTGGGGGAATTGGAAGCATGTATGCTGAACTGTTTCCAATGTCCATGTTGTTCGAGTAGGCAGGTGGAATTATGAGGGAATTTCATTATTTGCTTTTATCTGCTTTTGTACAGTTTGATTTTTTTTTTTTTTTTTTTTGAGATGGAGTCTTGCTCTGTCACCCAGGGTGGAGTGCAGTGGCGGATCTCGGCTCACTGCAACCTCCGTCTCCTGGGTTCAACCAATTCTCCTACCTCAGCCTCCCGAGTAGCTGGGATTACAGGCGCCTGCCACCACACCCAGCTAATTTTTGCATTTTTACTAGAGATGGGGTTTCACCACGTTGGCCAGTGTGGTCTCAAACTCCTGACCTCACGTGATCCACCCGCCTTGGCCTCCCGAAGTGCTGGGATTACAGGTGTGAGCCACTGTGCCCAGCCCAGTTTGATTTTTTTAAAGCAGGAGCCCAGCCTTCATTTCTCAGATTCCTTCGATGATTGACTTGGTGTTCCTCTTAAGTGATCTTTCTTCCTCTAGATCTCTCTTCACCTTTTAAGTTAGTCCAAGCTTCTGTAACCACAACAGGAGACTGCTGCTTGGATAAGCATATCAGCTGCATGGTTAAACTATTTGTTCTGTCTTTCAACTGAGCTGTCAATACACTCTTTGAAAAATTTGAAGGGAAGAGTATAGTTCCACTTACTATTTCTTTATAAGTAACCAAGAAACAACGTAACTTTCATATTAATCTTCGGGAGGGAAGGATTTTTTATTCTATGAATTTTGTGGTAGGATTTTTTGTGGTAGGATTTCTGGCCTTATTGTAATTTTATGCCTTGGTATTTAAAGGCAAAGTCCAATCCACTGCTGATATCTTTGGTGACGAAGAAGGAGATCTGTTCAAAGAAAAAGCCGTAGCATTGCCAGAAGCCACTGTGAGTCAGACAGATGAAAATAAAGCAAGAGCAGAAAAAAAGGTGAGCAGGAGGGAAGACTTAACGCAGGAGCATTGATCTGCAGCATTTTAATAATTCATCCGGAACGCAGAGGGAAGTACTGTTCCCTTTCACGTTCATATTGAAGAACTTCAAACAGAAAGTGGAAAGAACATTGCAGTGAACACCCAAATAACTGCCACCCAGATTGATCAGTTCTTAGGGTTTTGGCAAACACTTTATGGATGTAAACCTTGTGACATATCTATTTTTTTCCTGAACTATTTGCATGTAAGTTGTTTGAACTGTTTGCTGCATGGAACTGTTTCCATGTAGTCATTGTGACATTCTACCCCTAAATATTTCATTAAGCCTCTCTTGAAAAGACTTCCATATAAGCACAATGCCATTATCAACAGCTGTGAGACTAACAGTAATTCTATAGTAGAATCTAATATCTAGTCTGTATTAGAATTGCTCCAGTTGCCCCAGAATGTCTTTGTAAAATCACCCCAACAAATAGAATACAGATTTAAAATTATCTCGCATATAGTTTATATGGTAATTTCCTCTCTTGTCCCCAAAATGCCATTTATAGCAGCGGTCCCCAACCTTTTTGGCATTGGGGACATTAGGAGAGTGCAACTTGCAACCTAGATCCCTCGCATATACAGTTCACAATAGGGTTTTCCCTCCTATGAGAATCTGATGCTGCCACTGATCTGACAGGAGGAGGAGCTCAGGCAGTAATGCTTGCTGCTCACCTCACCTCCTGCTGTGCGGCCTGGCTCCTAACAGGCCATGGGCTGGTCTGCAGCCCAGGGTTGGGGACCCCTGCTTTATAGTATTTTTGTGTATTTTGATTTTTTGTTTGTTTGTTTGTTTTAAGAAACCCAGGATTCAGGCAGTGTGTCTGCATTGCATTTGGTTGTCCTGTCTCTTTGGTCTCCTTAATCTAGTGCAACATCTCCCACATCTTTTTTTTTCTTTTTTTTTTTAACGTCCAGCCACTTGTCTTGTAGAATGTGTCATGTGAATTTGCTTGATTATTTTTCTATGAATAGATTCAGGGTGAGCAGTTTTGGCAAGAATACAAGCAGGCAGGGTTGTGCACTTCCAGTTGGATCACCTCCCAAGATACATCAGGTCCACTGTCTGCCTCATTCAGACACATTTGTCACTTGGTTGCTAGGGTGCCCACCACACTGCTTCATTGGAAAGCTACCCTGTTCTCTTTTGCCATTGCTAAGTTGATCTCTAAAGTGATAGTTGAACACAGTGTGAATACCTGTTCTCTCCCAGCCTTTTACTCAGTGTTTTGAAAATCCACTGATGATCTTTTCCTGAATCAGTTAACCTGTTAGTGGTCATAAACCACTGCTTTTTTAATTCTATATTTCTTATTAGTTGGTATCTTCTGAATAAAGAGTTTCCTCTTCCTCTGCTTCCCTAATTTTTAGTGTTGCTCTGGGATCATGAATTCATTCTTCAGTGTAGATGATAATCCATTACCATCATTCCTCTTCTTCCTTTTTTTCTGAGACAGAGTCTTGCTCTTGGTGGCTAATTTTTGTATTTTTTTGTAGAGACTGGGTTTGACCATGTTGGCCAGACCATCATAGTTTTTGATGCTCAGATTGACCTGCATTTGGCCAGTGTGTGTGTCCCCAGCAGTTTTTAAGCCCTTTTGACTGCTTGACCTTTCACTGCTGTCCTGTACAGCTGGTCCCTCCTCTTTCTACAGTTTGTCTCATCATGTCATGTCCTGGCTGTGAAACCCTGACTTTCTCCTGCCGACCCCCTAAGGCCCAGCATTCAGAACCTGGTAGGCCTGTCAGGCAGCCAGTCTTTCCATGCTGTCTCTCATTGCATATGTCCCATCTGTGCACCCATTGACCCAGGCAGTGTGTCCTGCTCCCTGATACACCAGATGTGTCCTCTGTTTGTCTTGCTGTTCTCCTAACAGCCCCCTCAGCTTGCTGCCTATCACAGCAGAGACTCCGTGCGTTTTCTAAATGGTTGATTGAGTAAACCCTCTTTTCTGGGTATCTTATTTGTTAATGCTTAATTTTTCTTTTTCTTTTCTTTTCCCCCAACAAAGGTTACCTTACCTTCCAGCAAAAATCTCAAGCCCTCGTCAGAAACAAACACTCAAAAAGGCTTATTTTAGGATCAGGAGGACTCTGAGGTATGTTATTCTTTTCCTTAGTTGTGGGTATTAGTCTATGGATATGACATAGAAACTATTTTTGAATCAGGTTTTTCTCAATAGAGTTATAAGACTTTTTGTTAAGTACTCCAGTTCTTTAAAAATTATCTCTAGAGACCAGGAGTGGTGGTTCACACCTGTAATCCCTGCACTTTGGGAGGCCAAGGCAGGCGGACACCTGCGGTCAGAAGTTCGAGACCAGGCTGGCCAACATGATGAAACCCTGCCACTATTAAAAAGACAAAAATTAGCCGGGCATGGCGGTGTGAGCCTGTAATCCCAGTTACTCAGGAGGCTGAGATAGGAGATTCACTTGAACCCAGGAGGCAGAAGTTGCAATGAACCGAGATCACACCATTGCACTCCAGCCTGGGCGACAGAGTGAGACTTCGTCTCAAAATAAATAAATGAATAAAAAATAATCTCTTGAGAGCACAGGGGCTTTAGAAAGCAATATGTTTACAATACTTTTCACTTTTGGGTTGGACTGTATTTACGTTTCCTGGGATGAAAATTCTCTCTTTTTAGGATGCTCAGATTTTAAACTGTTCATGGGCTCATGATGTGATGAGGAGCTTGCACCAGAGTGGAGGTCACCATGCTACTTCCTTTATTCACATTTTCACTAACTAGACCGTGGCTTAATGCTGTAGCAGATGGGTTCTGGCATAGCCATCTGTCTTGTCGAGACTGAGACCACTAACAGCCTGTGGGACCCTGGTTCACAGGTTGCTTTGGTCCCTCCAGGCACCTTAGAACCACCTCTCAGAATTTCACTGCTTTTCCTGAGTCTCTCAGGCCTAGGTCGTCTTAGATCTAATTTTATGTTGGCCTTTTAGGAGATTGGAGACCTGTATCAGAAATGTAATGGGAAATAATAAGCCCCTTTTACAGAAAAATATGTGGACATGGCAGAAACTTACATGTGTTTCAAGAAACTGTGGGCTCTAGGTTAGGCTGTCATGGTTGGGCTTTGCACTCACAGCAAGGATGAACATGGAACCCTTTGGAAGTATAGTGATTGCCCTTGACATAAAGAATACCTTTGAGGCTATTATTTCATTGAAGGCGAGTGTACAAAACATGGGAATTAACCAAAGTCCAGTCAAGTCACAACCCTGACCCCTGAGAAACAGCATGATGGGGCCTCCACCGTCTTATGCTCATGGATCCCCTGTGTCACCCACACCTGCACCTCAGGGTCTTTGCACCGGCCCCTGCCACTCTGAGGAATGCTGTTCCCAGAATCCAGCTTGCTTCCTCACTCTTCGATTTCTCTATGAGGCCTCCCTGATGAAATACACACAACAGGAAGCCTGCTAGCACGTACCACCCTGTGCTCCTGGTCCTCCTTCCTATTTCACTGTTTACCACAGCACGTGTTGCCAGGGACAGTGTATATTTACTTATTCATTGTCTCTACTTCCCACTAAAGTAAGTGCCACAAGGACAGGACTTTTTATTCCGTTTGTATCCCTAACACCCTGTCCTTAATACCAGTGCTTGGCATGTTGTAAGCCATCCAGTAATTGTTGATTAGACAAGAAAACAAAATGTGAGCAATTTCAGTGACTTACGAGGTGTTCTGGTTATTTGTTGCTATGAAACAAGCAACTCCAAAGCCTAGTGGTTTATAACACCAGTAGTTTTGTTATCTCATACTTCGAGAGGTTGACTGGGCTTAGCTAGGCCATTGTCACTGAGGGTCTCTTGTGTCTGAAGGTGGCTGGGCTGAGGGTCAGCTCACTCATATGTCTGGTACCTGGGCACTGGGGCCCCTGGGACATCTCTCACTAGCCCTGTGTGGCTCCCAGCATGTAGTCAGGGAAGCCAGTCCTCTTACATGCTGGCTCAGGGCTGTAGGGGAGAGTCCTCAGGGAGAGTCCGGTGGAGGCCATGTCGCCTTCTGTCTTCCAGCCTTGGAAGTCAACGGTGTTCCTTTTCCTTCATTTGTTGGTCAAGATGGTCACAATGGCCCATCCAGGTTTATGGGGAGAGGCCATAGGCTCCCCTTCTTGATGGTGGGAGTGTAAATGAACTCTCAGACTTGTGTGAAAACCCTACCAAAGGCTTTGCCCCATGTGTGTCATCATAGAGTGAATGTTTTTATTGGATATTGTTCAGATTCTGAGTCAAGGAGAAGTAAAACTAAGGCAGTCTAAGTAAGAGTTAAAGCTTTGGACCCGAAGGAATGCATCGTGACTCCTTTCTCTATATCTCAAGTGTGGGGCTGAAGCTTGCCCTGTGAAGTCATTTTGGGGGAACATATTTGAGGTAATGGAAGTGTCTTTTTTTGCAGTACCAATAAAAGTATTAGTTAAGGGTCCGAAACTGTGATGTTGACATTTGTTTTTGTTCTTTGCTTTGGTTTACTTTCATTTTCTTAGAACAGCAGAACCCTTTCTCTTGCCATTGTGTAACATTCAGGAGGGGCACAGGATGCCTGGAATTCCCCTTGTGACCTCTTCTATCTAAATAAACCCATGGGACTCTGGGAAGCACAGGGGAAAAACACTGTGTGGAGGAGATCTCACTTAGTGAACTCATTAGGTCTATGTTTGAGGAGTAGACAACAACCCCATGATTTAAAAAAAAAAAAAAACTGTCAGAAGAGGTCTTAGAAAATATGTTCTTGTCCTATTTAATTGTTCGGCTCTTGTGTATTAATGTTTCTCTTCCCAAGGGATTAGATGTCCCATTTTATGTTTCTACTTCATGTAGCTCAATTTGCAGGTCTTTCTTTGCAGGATAAGCTGATGTTTTATAACGTTTTGAAAATTTCTTTATTTTTATATTTTTTACTTTTTTGAGACAAAATTTCACTCTTTTTGCCCAGGCTGGAGTGCAGTGGTGGGATCTCAGCTCACTGCAACCTCTGCCTTCTGGGTTCAAGCAATTCTCCTGCCTCAGCCTCCTGAGTAGCTGGGATTACAGGCAACCACCGCCACGCCTGGCTAATTTTGTATTTTTAGTAGAGACAGGGTTTTGTCATGTTGCCCAGGCTGGTCTCAAACTCCTGACCTCAGGTGATCCACCTGCCCCAGCCTCCCAAAATGCTGGGATTATAGGTATGAGCCACAGCGCCAGGCTGAAAGTTTATTCAGAATCTAGCAGGTCTCATCCTGGTTTGCAACATCATATACGTGTAGTTAAACTAAGTAGACTACCAAACATTTACAAATAAAAATTTAATTTGAATTTATTTAAAAGAAATAAGTGGGCCGTGCGCGGTAGCTCACGTCTGTAATCCCAGCACTTTGGGAGGCAGAGGCGGGCGGATCACGAGTTCAGGAGATCGAGACCATCCTGGCTAACACGGGGAAACCCGGTCTCTACTAAAAATACAAAAAAATTAGCCGGGCGTGGTGGCGGGCGCCTGTAGTCCCAGCTACTCGGGAGGCTGAGGCACGAGAATGGCGTGAATCCGGGAGGGGGAGCTTGCAGTGAGCCAACATGGCGCCACTGCACTGCAGCCTGGGCAACAGAGCGAGACTCTGCCTCAAAAAAAAGAAAAAGAAGTAAGTCATAATCTTAGGGGAGGAGGGTGTTACTAAATAAAATAGTTGTAGCTCCATTAATTTGGGAATCTAGCCCCTGTTTCTTTATTGACCCTGTCTAATCTCTGATTCTTTAGACAGTAATGGGAAGCCATGCTTATATATTTATTTTTTTAGCATGGTGTAGGAAATTGATTCAAAAACTTATTCCTGCCTTCTGTCATTCAGGTGGGAATACAGAAGCCCCTGGGCTCTGTGAGGCCACCAGATCCTGTAGCTCTCCTCCTCCTTAGTGCCACTGCACACACCCTGCACAGACCCTGAGGCCTATCCCTTTAAGGACTCTGTCTGAGCCACCTTCCCTCTCAGGAAAGAAGCCTAGACACATGGCAGCTGTCATGTCTGAGTCACTTGTGTTTTATACTGACCTGATATTTTAAAAACTGATATTCCTGTTAACCAGCAACTTTAATTTCAATCCAACAGGATTTGTTTTCTTCTCAAAGTGCGAGTAACTTAAAAGGTGCATCTCTGCTGCCTGGCAAGCTCCCCACGTCGGTTTCCCTGTTTGATGATGAAGATGAAGAGGTAAACATTGTTATTGTAACACTAGATAATTTAGATTAGGAGAAAACGGTTGTTGATGTAACTTTCTACCCAGAGGCTCATATACTAGCAAAAGGTGGTAGGGAAGCAGTCAGGCCACCTGAAGTTTATATAACAAAAATATTTCTGTTTTTATTTCAGTGACTTCTTCCTTATATTTTCCTAGCTGTGCAATGGAGAAGACATTAGATTCTTGATGCAGTTCTTTTTTTTTTTTTTTTTCCGAGTTGGAGACTTTCTCTGTCACCCAGGCTGGAGTGCAGTGATGCGATCTTGGCTCACTGCAGCCGGGTTCAGGTGATTCTCCTGCCTCGACCTCCCAAGTAGCTGGGACTACAGGCACACACCACCACTCCCGGCTAATTTTTGTATTGTTAGTAGAGACAGGGTTTCACCATGTTGGCCAGGCTAGTTTTGAATTCCTGATCTCAGGTGATCCGCCTGCCTCGGCCTCCCTAAGTGCTAGGATTACAGGTATGAGCCACTGTGCCTGGCCTCTTGACACATTTCTCATGGAGTGAAATCTACAGGTTTTATTTTTAGAAATTTTCCTTTGAGAAATACGATTGACCCTTTAACAGTGAGGAGGTTGTTTTGGCTTCCACATTGCAGTGAAAAATCCATATATAACTTCTTACTTCCCAAAAACTTATCTACTGACACCTTACTGTTAACCAGAGGCCTCATGGGTAACACAAACAGTTGATTAACCTATAAATAGTATAGTATCTATTTATATATTTTTGTATTCCTGACATATCTAGCATTTCCTTATTTTTTTTTTGATATTTCTAGGCTAAGTGGTTTGTCTGCAAGATTTTTCAAATTGCTGCAAATGTCAAAAAAATTTTCAGCATATTACTGAGAAAACATTTGTGTAGAAGTGGACCTGTGCAGCTCAAACCTGTGTCATTCAGGGTCAGCTGTACTTTAGTCTAGAGGATGGATCAACATATACCCAATGACCTACAAGAATGTTTTGGATCAAGTGGAGATACAAAGGAGAAGGCAGCCATGTCCTGACCATTGCCTTTGTTTCCCATCCTGGCTGGAGAGAGCACAGTGGGGAAGAGAAATAAGAGAGAAGACAACCCAAACCTTAACTCTCATGCAGTACTGGGCAGTGGTGAGCTCAGAGGCTTTGCCATCAGACCCCTGGGTTCATATCCCAGCTCCACCACTTGCAAACCAGGGACCTGGGGCAAGTAACTTAACCTTCCTTAAGCTCATGTGGCTTAACAGTGAGTAGGGTCACTGTGGCAGCTGTAACTACTAGTGTGAAGCTCTTGCAGAGTGCCGGCACATAATAAGTGCATAGTGAATGTGAGCTCTGTCATTAGCATCCCCAATGGACACCAGCTCATTATTCTCCTGGCCTGTCCTACATTACCGCACTCTCCTTAAAGGAGACTTCATTCAGGAAGACACTCCCTTCATCCATCTTCACATTCCAGGGCTGTTCACCTGCTGTTAAGAGTTTGTCCATCCTAACTCAGACTCAGGCCCTCTGATGCTTTTGTTCCCCTTACCTGAATAAAAGCACCTTAAGAAATATAACTTTTGGGGAGTGCTTGACCACAGAAGAATTTACAAATGCCATTAAACTTAGTACACCAGCAATTTTATTTAGTAAACTATTTCTCCAATTTGTATAATCTCTTTGAAACTAATGAGAAACACAAGTCATGCCTTCCCTCCATCCCAGGTGTGTGTCTTTCTGACCTGTAAAGGAGTGGAGACAGACCCCCAGTTCTCTCCTTTGAGCCATTGTTCTGGTTTCTCATTCATGGAGAGGACTGTGTGAGTTTCTGGCTGCTGCAGGGGCTCCCATGCCCGTTGCAGGCTGTAACCCCCTGAAATGAGCAGAGAGGCACTTGCCCACAGGGTGACTGGATGGGGCTCAGTTTCTCCTTGTACTTTGTGATCTCATTCGCATGTTGTTCTCCTGCTTATTCGCAGCTGTTCTGCCTTTGAGTTCTATGGTAACCTCTTTCCCTTCTATGGGTGCAGTGAGAAAAGGCTGTAGTTTGGGATTTACTAGCATTTTACGGTTTTTCCCCGCCAGAGTTGTTATTTGTATACCTGACTGGAGACTTACTTCCTAACAGTTTGATATAGGAGGACATCCTATGTTTTCTGATTATAAAGTTGTCTTACCTTTCTGCCATTTGCTTTTCTAGGATAATCTTTTTGGGCGTACAGCTGCTAAGAGGCAGACATTGTGTCTACAAGCTCAGAGAGAAGAGAAAGCAAAAGCCTCCGAGCTCTCCAAAAAGAAAGCATCTGCCCTGTTGTTCAGCAGTGATGAGGAGGTGAGCTGAGGTTTCTGCTAAAGAAGAGGGGATTATTTCATGGGATTTAAGAGTTAAAGCCACCCCAAATATTTTCTTTTTCTACCTGTTTTATATCTCGTGATGTTCAGTCACCAAAGGTGATGTTCACAAGATTGTCTTTTCTGACGGAAGACATTTAATGTAATATATTAATTTAAAGATGAATCTCTTCAAAATGGTTAGGAATAAGTATGACTCCCACACGATAGTGTATGCTCCTTCAAATGAGTTAGGCCAGCTAGGGGGGAAATGATTTCTCAGCCATCGCTAGGTTCATGGTTGAGTCCCTTAGAACAAATGACAGATTAACCAGAGAAAAGTGTGCAAGTTTACGTAAGATAAGTTTTACCAGACACAGGAGCCTTCAGAAAGAAAAACTCAAGAGAAACAGGAAATCCTGTGTCAATTTGATGCTGTCTGATGAAGAAGCGGACAGTTTTGGGGAGCACGATTAGATGAAAGGGGTGTGACCTGATGGGAATAAGCTGGGGGGAGCTCAGCAAGGCCTGTGTGGTCAGATCATTCTCTGCATCTTTACAAATAAGGAGGCTCCTTTCCTCTGGGAATAGGGAGGACTGGAATGAAGGTCTTATGACCTACTCCAGAGAGGGTTAGAGGATTCTTCTATGTCCTCCTTCAGAGGAGAAGGGCCAGGGAGAGGTCAGAGACATCTTTCTGCTTCTGTTTTCTCAAATGCCAAGGTGTCATATTTTGAGGTAGCATGTCCCGTATACCCCAATGGCCATATATACTAGTATCTTGTTAAATGACTACTGTGTTTCATTAATTTAGAACTATAGTTAGGAGGAGTTACATATTGAGGTTAAACTCCTTTTTGAGGGAGTCTTAACAATATTTCTGTTTGTGATCTGGATAGATACTACCAAATCAGTTAGTTTAGTTGCTAACTCAATCAGATTTAGTAGCAGGGAATCAGATTTAGCTGTGCAGAAAAAGACTTTAAATATGATGACATAAAAAATCCTCAGTGTTAAACATCTTCCTGTGTTATAATAATTCCTCTTTTTTTTAACATTGTAGGCAAGTTAGGAGCGGGTGAAGTGGATATATAAGTCATAGATATGTTCATGTTCTTACTGAAAGCAATTTAAAAATTCCGAAGCAGATTGCAAAAAAAATGTATTAAAAGCTTATGCGGCTGGGCGTGGAGGCTCACGTCTGTAATCCCAGCACTTTGAGAGTCTGAGGCAGGCAGATCACTTGAGGTTGGGAGTTCGGAACCAGCCTGACATGGAGAAACCTTGTCTCTATTAAAAATACAAAAAAATTAGCAGCTTGTGGTGGCGCATGCCTGTAATCCCAACTACTCAGGAGGCTGAGGCAGGAGAATAACTTGAACCCAGGAGACGGAGGTTGTTGTGAGCCGAGATCGCGCCATTGCACTCCAGCCTGGGCAACGAGCGAAACTCCGTCTCAAAAAAAAAAAAAGAGAGAAAAGCTTATGCAACACACATGTGAACAAGACACAACGAAAAACTGCTAGCAATCCTTTTACTACAAAAGTCTGACTCTGGCCTTTAGAAAGCATTTAAGGAATTCCCACCCAGCTGTGCTCACATTTCCACATCAAGGAATTCCCAAGCATATATAATTTGTGTTTTCTACTCGAACATATGAATTTATGATGGATTATCCAGTTTTTTTCTTTTAAACATTGTCAGTGATTGTTCCCCCTGTAGCAACAGCCAGACATCAGTGTAGTTGCTCCTACTAGAGTATTATAGTGGTTCAGGGAAAATAAAAACATTACCTAAAGCTTGGAGCAAAAAGATATGCAGAGGAAAGATAGCCAAGGTTCTAGAACAGGGGCGTCCAGTCTTTTGGCTTCCCTGGCCCACACTGGAAGAAGAAGAATTGTCTTGGGTCACACATAAAATGCACTAATACTAACAATAGCTGATGAACTAAAAAAAAAAAAAAAAAAAGGTTCATGCATAAATCCCATAATGTTTTAAGAAAGTTTACAGATTTGTGGTGGGCCGCATTCAAAGCCATACTGGGCTGTGTGTGGCCCATGGGCCACGGGTTGGACAAGCTTGTCCTAGAACAAAGGCTGTCAACTTCGGCTGCTCACTGGGATCCATGGGGAACTTAAAAGAGTGCTGACAGGCCAGGCACAGTGGCTCACGCCTGTAATCCCAGCAGTCTGGGAGGCAGAGGTGGGCAGATCACCTGAGATTAGGAGTTTGAGACCAGGCTGGCCAACATGGCGAAACTCCGTCTCTACTAAAAAATATAGAAATTATCTGGGCGTGGTGGTGCCTGCCTGTAATCCCAGCTACTCAGGAGGCTGAAGCAGGAGAATCACTGGAACCTGGGAGGCAGAGGTTGCAGTGAGCCAAGATCGTGCCACTGCACTGCAGCCAGGGCCACAGAGCGAGACTCTGTCTCAAAAAAGGAAAAAAAATAAAAAGAAAAGACCTAATGAGTGCTGACAGTGGATCCCAGCTCCAGAGATTCTGAATTAATCTGGTTGGGGTACAGCCTCGTCATTGGAGTTTTGTGATGCTCTCTAGTGGATTTCAGCATTTAGTCACTGCTAAACATTGAGGAGCACTTCTCAAACCTTCATGTTTAGGAAATCACCTGGGCACCCTGTGAAATGCAGGTTCTGACTCAGAAAATAGGGGCGGGGCCTGAAATTCTGCATAATCTGCTGCTGGCTTGTGGACTCCACTTTGATTTGTAAGACTCTAGACTCCAGAGATACAGCACTTATGCAAGTGCTTGGGAGTTCTTTGATTTGAAGGGGTGTGAGCACAGTCGAGTAGAATTTCCCTAAATGCTTTCTAAAGGCCACATTCAGACTTGTGGTAAAAGGATTACTAGCAGTTTTTCATTGTGTCTTGTTCACATGTGTGTTGCATGAGTTTTTACACTTTTTTTTTCAATCTGCTTTAGGATTTTTAGAATTAAAATGTCATTCTTCTCTGGAGTTGGAAGTTTTTGAGTTCTTGGTATTTTTACATTCGGCTTCCTTATAGCCTCTGTAATTAATGTTGATCCCTTGAAATAAACAAGTCGCTTGTCGTAATATAGTGCAGAACCACAGTAGGAAGAGATATCATGGCAGATGTTGGAGGAAGAAATCATGGGAAGCTCTGTGAGGTCAGAGAGCCCAGCTGTCTAGATTTGAGTTCAAAGGAAAGTCTTAGGCATGAGCTTTCTTCAAGACTGATGCACTAAGTTTAATACTTAGTTTAAATACAACTTAGTTTAACAAATATAAGTTTTATTTTACTTCCCATGTTTTATAATCTAAATTGCCATTGGACTTTTTTTTTTTTTTTTTTTTTTTGAGACAGAGTCTCGCTCTGTCCCCCAGGCTGGAGTGCAGTGGCGTGATCTCTGTTCACTGCAAGCTCCGCCTGCTGGGTTCACTCCATTCTCCTGCCTCAGCCTCCCAAATAGCTGTGACTACAGGTGCCTGTCACCGTGCCTGGCTCATTTTTTTGTGTTTTTAGTAGAGATGGGGTTTCACCGTGTTAGCCAGGATGGTCTCAATCTCCTGACCTTGTGATCCACATGCCTCAGCCTCCCAAAGTGCTGGGTTTACAGGCATGAGACACTGCGCCCAGCCTATGGCAATATTTTTAATGGCAGCTTCACATTCTGGATATCTTTATGTTGGGGAAAAAGTTTCAAAGGTAACTGCTCTTCTGTAGCTAAGCTTTTTTAGAGCAGAGGATGGAGCAAATTCTGAGTTACTGAAATTACATATTTAGCGCTATTGCCTTGTTTAGCTTTAACTTCTATTTCATCTTTATAGTTGTCTTTTCAGACGTTTTCAGAAGAGATGAGAGAAATGCTTTGGGAATTGATTTGGAAATCTTTTTGCTGTCATTACTTTTAATAGCTAGATATATGTTTTAATTGTAAAAAATTCTGGAAATACTTTTTTCTCTACCTGCCCCCATTTTTTTTTGTTTTTTTTCTGAGACAAGGTCTGGTTGTGTTGCCCAGGCTGGGGTGCGGTGGCATAATCATACCTTGCTGCACCTTTGAGCTCCAGGACTCCAGTGATCCTCCCACCTTAGCCTCCTGAATGGCTGGGACTACAGATGTGTGCCATCATGCCCAGCTAATTTTTTTTTTAATTTTGTAGAGACAAGGATCTTGCTATGTTGCCCAGGCTGGTCTCAACCTTCTTACCTCAAGTGATTCTCCCACCTTGGCCTCCTGAATTGCTGGGATTACAGGCATGAGCTACCGTGGCCAGCTTTTTTTCTGTTTTGTTTCTTGTTCCCCTTCTGTTTTGTTTTTTTTAGCTGTTTTTCCATCCCATCTTTAAGTCTTCATTGCCCCCTCATTTTCCAACATCATGAGTCCCACAGCATGCTCAGCTAAGCACGACCACACACCATTTCAAGAAGCTGTTCATGGACCCAGCTTTTAGTACTGGCTGGGTCTTTGTCCTGCTGCAGCTTCCATTTGTTCCTCAGCTACCCTCTAGGCATCCAGTCTGGCTTAACCAGATTTCATGGCCTCATTTTGTCCTCTGCTACAGTGATTTCTACTCCTGAGGAGAAGCATAACTATCTTCTAGAGGGAAACATTTTCCTTTTGGTTATCAATCTTAGTTCTTTTAGGATATTGGAAATTACCCCATTGACTGGACCCAGACTTATGGTGGAAGTTCCAGCACAATTAATACTGAACGGGGTTGTGCTTTTTCTTCTGGCATATAATTGAATTATCCATTCTCATTATAGGTGAAGGACTTGCAAATCTGTTTGTTATCTTCTACCCTCCCCCAGCCTATTATTTTCAGGGTCTCACTATGGAAGAACACTGTGGTGAAGGAAACAATCCAGATTCCTTTGGCAGTCATAGTCACTCATGTCTTTATTTCTGTCATGTGCATTTTGCAGTCCTGACACCTGACTTCTGTTGCTAGAGCCGCAACTATGTAGGTAGGAGTACTGTTGGCTTCGGGGATACACACACTGGTGACCCTATAGGACAGTCTTATTTGATATAGCATAAGTATGTTTTTAAGAATTCATGTTATCCAAAATTATAAAAGCAGTTGTTTGAATGAGTGAAAGAAAGGGGGTTAAGTTTAGAGAGCTCCATACAAAGTCATATATAAGCAATGCAGCTTTTAAATTTAGCTTTTATTTAAGAGCAATGACCCTTTACCACTATCACCAGCAGTATTATTAGCCTGGTACCTTGTATTACTCTAATACCCATCATTTTGAAATGTGGTGCAACAACACTCAAAAGAGCTATGCTACAAGAAACAACTTTCCTTTCTGTAATGCCCTCCCTTTAGGATCACTAGAAGTTTGAACAATGCAATTCAGATTCCCAAATTAATTATCTTTCCTATTAATATTATAAAAACTCATAGCAGATTCCTGTATGTGCATGTATGTTATGAGTTGGATAAACATTGATGGACTTCATTTGGAGTGAATCAGAATGGGATTCCTGTGAGAAGCCAACATCCCTCTAAACAAACTTTTGGAGCATGATATGGCTTGGATGTTTTGTCCCCTCCAAATCTCATGTTGAAATCTGACCGCCAGTATCGGAAGTGGGCCTAGTGGGAGGTGTTTGGGTCATGGGGGTGGATCCTCATGAATGTCTTGGTGCTGCCCTTGTGGTAATGAATGAGTTCTCACTCTGATTTCACATGAGATCTGGATTAAAAGAACCTGGGGGCTAGGCATGGTGGCTCATGCCTGTAATCTCAGCACTTTGGGAGGCTGAGGCTGGCAGATCACAATTTCAGGAGATGGAGACCATCCTGGCCAACATCTTGAAACCCTATCTCTACTAAAAATACAAAAATTAGCCAGGTGTGGTGGCACGTATCTGTAGTCCCAGCTACTCAGGAGGCTGAGGCAGGAGAATCGCTTGAACCCAGGAGGCAGATGTTGCAGTGAGCTGAGATCGCGCCACTGCACTCCAGCCTGGGTGACAGAGCAAGACTCTGTCTTAAACAAACAAATAAACACAACCTGGCACCTCTTTCTTCTCTCTCTCTTGTTCTCTCACCATGTAACATGCTGGCTCCTTTCCTCTTGCCATGATTGTAAACTTCCTGAGGCCCTCACCAGAAGCAGATACCAGCATTATACTCCTTGTACACTCTACGGAACTGTGAGCCAAAATAAAACTCTTTTCTTTATAAATTGCCCAGTCTCAGGTATTCCTTTATAGCAATATGAACAGGCTAACACAGAGGATAACCAAATATTTATTAATGTCTAAAACTTGGAGAATACCTTACCTATAGCACAGGTTTGTTCTGAGGATCAATTGAAAGACTAAAATATCTATTCTTTCCTTGAACAAAGCTTTAATGAGTACCAATATGTGCAAAAGACTGTGCTAGGTGGTAGAGATCAGATGTGCTCCCTTCAGTTTAGTTAAAAATGAAATTGTTAGGGGCTGGACACAGTGGCTCATGCCTGTAATCCCAGCACTTTGGGAGGCCAAGGTGGGCAGATCACGAGGTCAGGAATTTGATACTATTCTGGTTAACATGGTGAAACCCCATCTCTACTAAAAATATAAAAAATTAGCCACGCGTGGTGGCAGGCGCCTGTAATCCCAGCTACTCGGGAGGCTGAGGCAGGAGAATGGCATGAACCTGGGAGGCGGAGCTTGCAGTGAGTCAAGATCATGCCACTGCACTCCAGCCTGGGTGACAGAGAGAGACTCCGTCTCAATAAATAAAGAAATAATAAAATAAAGAAATTGTTATGGGTGCAATATATGATGTAGGTAGTAGTGTAAAGGGGGTAGGTATAAAAGCTTTGTGGAATAGTTGATATTGGAGCTGAATGTTGAAAGGTGATTAGGTGCTTGTCAGGTAACCATGTGTGCACAAGATAGTAAGTAGAGCAGAGCAGGAGCAACAATATAGAAGCTGATGTGTTCTGAAGCTGCAGATGCAGATGATTAGAGGATAGAAGTACCAGAGATGTTGCAAGATGAGGTGAGGTTGTAGATGAGTAAAATGGGGCCGGAATGTGAGATGCATAATCTTGGGAGCATTTCTAAGGAGTCTGAATTATATTCTATAGACAGGGAGAAGTCATTATAGGACCTTGAGGCAAGAAATAACATGATCAGTTCTACATTTTCAAAAGATAACTGTGCTCCACATTATGTGTCATTAGGGAAATACAAATTAAAACAGCAGTGACGTACTATTACATGACTGTTACAATGGCTGAAATCCAAAACACTGACAACACCAAAGCTGGGGAAGATGGGGAGCAACAGGAACTCTCATTCACTGCCAGTGGGAATACAAAATGGTACTTTGGAGGATTGTTTGGCAACTTCTTACATATTCTTACTGTATGATCCAGCAATTATGCTCCTTGGAATTTGCCCAAGTGAGTAGAAAACATGTTCACACAAAAACCTGCATACAGATGTGTATGGAAGCTTTTTTCACAATTGCCAAAACTTGGAAGCAACCAAGATGTCCTTCAGTAGATGAATGTATTAATAAACTCTGTACTATACCCAGACAATGGACTGTTATTCAGCACCAAAAAGAAATGAGCTATATCAACCCATGAAAAGACATGGAAGAATCTTAAGTGTGTGTTACTAAGTGAAAGAAGCCAATCTGAAAAGGCCGTATACTATAAAATCCCGAATTATGTCTGGAAAAGGTAAAAGTATGGAGATGGTAAAAAGTGTAGTGTTTGCCAGGATCTGAGGGGAGAGAGGAATGAATAGGCAAAGCACAGAGGATTTGTAGCACAGTGTATGTATTCTGTGTGGTACTGTAATGGTGAATACACGTCATTATGCATTAGTTCAAATCCGTCAAGAGTGAACCCTAATGTAAATTACAAACTTCTATTTATGTGTGAAAATGATGTGTCACTGTGGGGTTCATCAGTTGTAATAAATGTACCACTCTGGTGCAGGTTGTGATAGGAGAAGGCTGTGGGAGTGAGGGTCATATAGGAACTCTGTAATTTCTGCTCAGTTCTGCTGCTCAAAAAATGAAATCTATTCAAAAAGGAACCTTTTCATGTTTAGACTAACTTAGTTCATTTCCCTCATTTAGTTCCTTCATTGTTGAGGTTTCATTGCAATGCATTCTAAAGTCAAACATAAAATTATTTTAGAACTTTGTGTGACTTCTCTGCTTGCTTAAACATCATTGCTGAATAATGTAAAAATATGATACCCTAATCTAGTTTTCATAAACATTTTTTCAAAATTGAAATTAAAACTGGCTTCATGGACAGATGGGTTGAAAGAGTGAAAGGCAAGAATCGAGGATCAAAACTAGGCCATGAAAATTGCTCAGTTGAGAGCTAATGAAGCCCTAAATTAAGCCCTAATCATTGTAGATGGAGTGGGTGTCAGATATAAACAATATTAAGAGGCTGGGCCCAGTGGCTAACACCTGTAATCCCAGCACTTTGGGAGGCCGAGACAGGCAGATCACAAGGTCAGGAGTTCGAGACCAGCCTGGCCAATATGGTGAAACCCCATCTGTACTAAAAATACAAAAATTAGCCAGGCGTGGTGGTGCGTGCCTTTAGTCCCAGCTACTCAGGAGGCTGAGGCAGGAGAATCTCTTGAACTGGGGAGGTGGAGGTTGCAGTGAGCCGAGATCGCGCCACTGCACTCCAGCCTGGGTGACAAAGCAAGACTGTGTTTCAAAAACAAACAAACAAACAAAAAACAATATTAGGAAGTCATATTGTCTAGAATTGGTCATTTCTAGGTGTCATGGGGTTGGGGGAAAATCCAAAATTATTGACAGATCATTTTGAGTGATGGCATGAAAGGCATCTCTTTACCAAGATGGGGACTACAGGAAAGCAGGAGGTTTGTGGGAAAAATTATAAGTTTTGAGTATATTGGATTTCAGATGCCTCTGGAATATCATGCTTATGGAGTGGAGATTACTAACAAAACCACCATCTTTAAAAAGAACTGCTTCTTTAAACATGCTTATATTGTAGTGAGTTCAGTGATATCTCATATCCTTTGGTAGAAAAAATTGTAAAAAAAATTTATGTATGGCACATTTCTCTGATGCTTGCACTTTCATAGTGTTCACTTTCTGTTCACCTAGGTTTACTTACTGATATCCTTCTCCCACTCTGAGGCTTTGCCTATCCTGAAATACATTTAAAAATTTACCCATGTCAGAAACACTTCCCAACTCATCCTATAAGGCCAATATTACCCTGATACCAAATCCAGACAGACATAAAGAAAGCTACAGATCATCTCTTATGATTATAGACACAGAGATCCTGAGGAAATACTTCCAGACCAAATCCATCAACATTTGTAAAGGATTACATACCATGTACAAATAGGATTTATCCCAGTAATGCAAGATTCATTTGACACACAAAAATTAATGTAATATATGAATAAAAGAAGAAAGAAAACCACATGATGATTTCAATAGACACTTTCTGAAAAAAGCATTGGACAAAATTCACACCCCTTCTTGACTAAAAAGAAAACCCACCTAAAGTAGGAATAGAAGGGAAGCTCCTCAACCTGATAAATGGTTATCTATAAAAACCCCACGGTTAATGTTATACCTAATGGTTTCCTTCTACAGTCAGGAATAAGACAAGGATGTCCAGTCTCACCACTTTTATTCAATCTTGTAATGAAGGTTCTAGAGCAGGGCAATTAGGCAAGAAAGGGAAATAAGAAGGGCATGGTGGCTCACGCCTGTAATCCCAGCACTTGGGAGGCCAAAGCAGGTGGATCACCTGAGGTCAGGAGTTCGAGACCAACCTGGCCAACTTAGTGAAACCCCATCTCTACTAAAAATACACAGATTTGCCTGGCATGGTGGCAGATGCCTGTAATCCCAGCCACTTGGGAGGCTGAGGCAGGAGAATCGCTTGAACCCAGTAGGCAGAGGTTGCAGTGAGCTGAGATTGTGCCATTGTACTCCAGTCTGGGCAAGACTGGCATGAGACTCTCTCTCAAAAAAAAGTGGGGGGAATAAAAGAGCATATAGATTAGAAAGGGAGAAGTAAAGCTCTATTTGTAAATGACATGATCTTGTATATAAAGCTTTTATATAGTAGATCTTTAGGAAGAACTAAATAACTAAATGAACTAAATAAACAGTTCAGCACAGTTGCAGTGCACAAGATCGATACATTAAAATCAGTTGTGTTTCTATACACTAGCAATGAGCAATCTGAAATTAATTAAGACAGTGATTCCATTTATAATAGCATTTAAAGGAATAAAATACTTAGGAATAAATTTAAAAAAAGAGAACAAAACTTGTACTCTAAAAATTGTAAAACATTTTTGAAATAAATTAGATATAAACTGAAAAATAGTAGATATTTATGGATTAGAAGTCTTAGTATTAAGATTGCAATACTCTCCAAATCTACAGACTTAATACAATCCCTGTCAAAATCCCAGCTAACATTTTTGCAAAATTGGCATACTTAAAATTCTTATGGCAATTCAAGGAGCTCAGAATAGCCAACAATCTAAAAAGAGAAGAACAAATTGGAGGACTCACACTTCCTAATTTCAGAACTTAATACAAAGCTGCAGTAATTAAGATAGGGTGGTGCTGGCATAGGTAGATCAGTAGCATGAAGAGTCTGGAAATAAACCTTCACATTTACAAAAAATGGATTTTTAACCAGGATCCAAGACAATTCAATTGGGAAAGAATGGTTTTTCTGGCAAATGATACTGGAACAACTATTTATCCACAGACAAAAGAATAAAGTTAGACCCTACCTCTCACCATACACAAAACTAAATTGTAATTGGACAACACACCTAAATATAAGAGCTAAAACTATACAATTCTTAGAAAAAATATATAAGTCAATCTTACTACTGTGGGTTAGGCCAAGCTTTTGAAGTACGACAAAAGAAAAATAGCCAAATTAGACTTTACCAAAAGTAAAACTTTTGTGTCTCAAAAGACACCATCAAGAAAGTTAAAAAGCAACCCGCAAACTGAGAGAAAATATTTGCCATTTATATATCCGTTAGTGTTTTTATCTAGAATATGTAATATAAAAACTCATAAAACTCAATAAAAAATCCAATTAAAAATAGACAAAATATGTGAATAGGCATTTCTCCAAAGAATGTATGCAAATGGCCAATGATCACATTAAAAAGATGCTCAGTATCATTAGTTTTTAAAGAAATGGAAATCACAACCGCAATGAGATACTACTTCACACCCACTAGGATAGCTTTAATAAAAAAGACAGAAGTATTGGCAAGGGTGTGAAGAAATTGGCAACCTCATTCATTGTTGATGGGACTGTAAAATGATCCATACCATTTAGAAAAGTTTGGTAGTGCCACAATTTGCTAAACATAAGAGTTACCACATAACCCAGCAAAGCTACTTCAAAGAGAAAGAAAAACATATGTTTACACAAAAACTTGCAGTTGAATGTTATTCTTAGTATTATATGTAACAGCCCAAAATTGGAAACAACTCAAATGCTCATCAACTGATGGATGGATAAACAACATGAGATATATTGCTACAAGGGACTATTATTCAGCAATAAAAAGGAGTGAAGTACTGATATATCCTAGAACATGATGAACTTTGAAAACATTATGCTAAGTGAAAGAAGCCAGTCACAAAAAAATCACATATGATTCTATTTATGTGAAATGTAATAGACCAATTTGAAGACAGAAAATAGATTAATGGTTGCCTAGGGTTGAGTGGGGGACTGGGGGAATTTGGGAGTGATGGTTACAGGGTATGGGGTTCCTTTTAGAGGTGATGAAAATTTTCTAAAGCAAATGTGGTGACTGTTGCACAACTCTATGTACGTAATAAAAACCATTGAATTTTGGGCTTTAAATGAGTGACTTTTATGGCACGTGAATTATATTTCAATAAAGCTTTTTTCTTACTTTTTTTGAGATGGAGTCTTGCTCTGTCACCCAGGTTGGACTGCAGTGGCGTGATGTCAGCTCATTGTAACCTCTGCCTTCTGGACTCAAGCGATTCTCCTGCCTCAGCCTCCCGAGTAGCTGGAACTACAGGCATGCATCACCATGCCCAGCTAATTTTCATATTTTTTGGTAGAGACTGGGTTTTGCCATGTTGGCCAGGCTAGTCTCTAACTCCTGACCTCAGGTGATTCAAATACCTCAGCTTCCCAAAGTGCTGGGATTACAGATGTGAGCCACTTCACCTGGCCCTCAGTAAAGCTATTTTTAAAAAGGTTTACCCACCTCACCAGAAAGATGTGTATCATTTGTCCTAGTTTAAGTTCAAGGCCCCCCCTTTCCAAATTCTTCCCTAATTAATAGTCTTTTCATGTCACTACATAGAGATCTCCTTCCTTGTTTTCAGTGATGTGCACCACTGGGTCTTTGCACTGGCCCCTGCCACTTTTTCAAACACTGGTCTCAGAATCCAGCTTGTTTCCTCACTCTTCAATTTCTCTGTGAGGCCTCCCTGATGAAATACACACAACAGGAGGCCTGCTAGCACATACCACCGTGTGCTCCTGGTCCCCTTTCCTGTTTCACTGTTTACCACCACACTTGTTGCCAGGGGCAATGTATATTTACTTATTCATTGTCTCTACTTCCCACTAAAGTAAGTGCCACATAGGCAGGACTATTCGTTCCCTGTTTGTATCCCTAACACCCTGTCCTTAATACCAGTGCTTGGCATGTGGTAAGCCACAGGCTCTTGTGGCTACATGATTCTGTCGATGTCTGGAGAAACTTCAGGTTGCCATGCCTTGAGGATTAACTAGGTGCTACTGACATCTAGTAGCTGGAGGCCGGGGAGGCTCCTGAACACTGTAGAATATACAAGACCACCCTCAACACAAAGAATGATTCAGCCCCAAATGTCAACAGTGCTGCGGCTGAGAAAACCTGTGTTAGACCAGCACTATCCAATAGAAATACAACCAACCGGTCGGGCCCAGTGGCTCACATCTGTAATCCCAGAACTTTGGGATGCCGAGGAGGGTGGATTGCTTGAGTCCAGGAGTTTGAGTCCAGCCTGGGTAACACAACAAGACCTTCTATAAGAAATAAAAGATTAGCTGGGCATGGTTACACATGCCTGTGGTCCCAGCTACCCAGGATGCTGAGGTGGAAGAACAAATTCAGCCCAAGAGGTCAAGGCTGTGGTAAGCCGTGATTGCACCACTGCACTCCAGCCTGGGCACTGAGGCCACACTTCCTATAGGCTGCTCCCAGCCAGAACCGAGCATGCCAGGGTACTAGTGCCACCTGTTCCTGCAGGACAAGGGAATCCTCTAACAGTCAATAGTCCACCAGAGACTCCCAACTGATCCGGCCAAACGTTCCTAGAGCTGTGCTGTGTCTCGGACTCCTCCTGCCCTACCTTCCTTCCTTCCCCCTCTCCCCTCTCACATGGCAGTCTGAAGGCTCTCCCTGATCACTCCTGGCCCCTCTCTTAACCTGCACACGTGCATCCCCAATAAATCTCTGCTGATCTCATCCTAACTTGGTGTCTGCTTCTGGGAGGATTCATACTAACACAGGTTTCAAGGTCGGACAGCATTCAAATCCCACTCCCACCACAGACCCTGAGCCAGTTCCTAACCCTTTCTCAGCCTCAGTTTCCTAGCAATGAAAAGAATATTGAAACAGAAACTCTTTGAAAGCTCTTCCTGTCCTGATCTGTTCCAGAATCGGGCTCAGCAGGGTTCCTGCAAGGACACAAGTGTAGCTGCCTCTGAGGAGCCCCTCACGTGCCCATTTTAGCCAGTTTGTTTCTCCCTGGGCTCCTACAGCACATGTGCCCATCACACAGGGTTGCAAACACCTGTTTTCTCCTCTGATTCCCCAAAGGGTGCTGGACACCTGTAGAGGGGCTCTGTTTTGTTCACTTGTCCATGATGCTTAGAGAATGTTTACAGTGCACAGTGAATGCCGAGCACTGGAAATGCTCAGTGAACAAAGCCAACACCAGCCCCACCAGCTGTCAGCAAGGAGGAGTTCTGTGGCTATAGTCTCTTTGGTTCCATGGAAATGACACCAACAGCCCACATAATTGAGGGCCCTGTGCAGGTGCCGAGTTCCCAGCAAAAGTCTTTGCATGTATTTTCTGTTATATGAATCCTCCTGGCATGCTCATTGAGAGGTTCCATTAGTACATGCCCATCTTACACATAAATAAACTGAGGCTCAGGGAACTGGAGTTGATTGTCCCAGCCTGCACAGCAGGAGGAATCAAGGGGTGAGTTTTGGGTTTTATTTTGCATATTTCAGCAGCTTTACTGAGGCATAATTTACACACCATAAAATTTACTCACAATAAATGTACAGTTAGATCAGTAAATCTATAGATTTGGGCAACCGTCAGCACAAGCCAGTTTTAGAATATTTCTATTACCCTGAAAACATTTCTCTTGCCTGTTTGCAGTCAATCTTCCATTCCCACCCCCAGCCCTACGCAACCACCAATCTGCTTTCTGACTCCACAGATGTGCCTTTTTCTGCACATTCCCTCTAAGTGAAATCATATAGTGTGGCCTTTTGTGGTTGGCTTCTTTCACATAGTGTAATGCTTCTGAGGTTCATCCGTGTTGTAATGTCCATTGTGGCTTCATCCCTGTCTATTGACAAATAAAGTTCTGTTGCATGGATGGACCACAAACATCTACATATCCATTCTTCAGCTGGTGCACATTTGGGTTGTTTCCAGTCTTGAGCTATTATGAATAATTTTGTTATGAAAATGTGTGTATAAGTTTTTGTGTGAGAATATGTTTTCATTACTCTTGGTTAGATCCCTAGGAATGGAGTTGCTGGGTCACATGATAAGGGTAAGTTATACAAGAAACTGCCAAACTTGCCTCTGTAAATTGGTTGCCCACCAGCAGCATATAAGGGTTCCACTGCTCCACACAGTAGGGCTGAGATTGGAGGCAAGTCCAACCTGACCTCAGAACCCCAATACCCAACTTGTTGGTGATGTTTTCTTTCTATCATTGGGATACCCAGCTAAGGAATGAGGATCATGGCTGTGCAGGAATGAGGGCTGTCTGTGAAAACAAGAAGTGCTCCTGCACCAGCCCAGACAAGACCCCCCACTTATCTCCATCGATTTCTTGTCCTCCAAGTGATGCTGGAGCCCCTGGGCATCTCTCTTCCTCACACACAAACCCCACATTTCTGACCCCTGCCATTTATCTTCCATTGATCCTTAGGTTCTGCTGAGAGTAACAAGGATAGACAGGGGTTCACAGCCCAGGGCTAGGGATGCCCCATACATACCCTGGGCAGTGACCTTGGAAGGGCTGATTCAGCTGGAACTCAATATTGAAGCACCTAGGATGTGCCTGTTTTACAAACAGAAAGAAGATAATGCAGAAGCATGGGGTCCCCGATTAGCTGATCTGAGCTGGGGTTGGACTTGGCAATCATTGGATCCAGTGCTTTTCCTGAAACATGAGCATTGAGTTTCCTGCCCACACAATCTTGGGCTTAATTATGTCCAAGGAACAAACAGGGTCCTCAGTATGCTTAAAGCATTGACATTGGATGGAAGACAATTCAATGTTTGAGAAATCCCTGCAGACCCTCTGGGAATGTTTTGAATTCTAAGGAGACCATCTTGCCCTACTTCCTTATTTGACAGAAATGGAAAACTGTGGCTCACCGAGGTGAAGTGAAATACCCCAGGTCATCCAGCAAGGTGAGGGTGGAGCAAAGGCTTGGTCCCATAGCATATATTCATCCATCTCCTTGCCCATCCATTGTCTTCCAGCAGAATGTAAGCTCTGAGAAGATAAGGATTTTCCTCTCCTTTTCTACAACTGCTGTCTTCCTTGATTCTAGCACAGTGGCTGGCACAGGTTGGGTGCTCAGTAAATATCTGGTGAATGGGCCAGGCGTGGTGGCTCATGCTTTAATCCCAGCACTTTGGGAGGCCAAGACAGGTGGATCACGAGGTAAGGAGATCGAGACCACACTGGCTAACACAGTGAAACCCCGTCTCTACTAAAAATACAAAAAAAATTAGCTGGGAGTGGTGGCAGGTGCCTGTAGTCTCAGCTACTCAGGAGGCTGAGGCAGGAGAATGGCGTGAACCCAGGAAGTGGAGCTTGCAGTGAGCAGAGATCATGCCACTGCACTCCAGCCTTGGCAACAGAGCGAGACTCAGTCTCAAAAAAAAAAAAAAAAAATCTGGGGAATGAACCCAGGTGCCCTGACTTCTCTGCTTCATTTCACAAAGCTGATCTGAGCACCTACTATGTGCTACAAGCTGTGGCAGGTATTGGGTGTAAGATTTGAGCAAGACAGGACCCTTGCCTTCAAGGCACTTAGTTCTCAAGGGCAAGACGGTAGGTATACAGCTAGGCACAGAATTCTGTGGTTACAGTTTTCTAAATGCTACAAAGGGATTTGGGGCTTGTGTAATATGAACTCAGCCGGGAGGTCATAGGAGACTTTAGACCAAGGTTTAAAATAAAGAGGCTGAGGCAAGGCTCCAGTCCCAGAGCATCCCCAGGAGGCCTACTCTGTTCTTCCATGAGTGTCTCCTGATTAGAAACTCTTGAGTCTAGGAGGTCAAGGTGGGAGGATCACTGGAAGCCAGGAGTTCAAGACCAGCCTTGGCAACAAAGCAAGACCTCATCTCTGTAAAAAATAAAAATTAAAAATAAATAAAAATAAAATGTTAGAGAGAGAGAGAGACACAGACACCAGCCTAGGTAACATGGTGCAACCCTGTCTCTACAAAACATACAAAAATTAGCTGTGTGTGGTAGTGTGGCTGAGGTGGGAGAATTGCTTAAGCCTGGGAGGCAGAGATTGCAGTGAGCAGGAATCACACCATTGCACTCCAGTCGGGGTGACAGAGTAAGACCCCGTCTCAAAAGTGAGAGAGAGATTGAGATAAACAGCAGGGTCTGACTGGAGCTGAATTATTGTGCTCAGCCTAGGACCGACTGTCCCACCCACTGACCAGCACTGAGCACAAAGGATAAACCCTGCAAAGGAAGTGACCAGCTTAGAGAACACTGTTCATCACTCCAAGGCCTGATGTTAACCACCTTGAGGCTTCTTATTAAACAGAACACAATAACACTGTTCTGGTTATGTTTCTTGAAAAGAGTCCCTTTTTTAAGAGATACACATTAAAATATTTACAGATGAAATCATATAATGTCTGCATGTTGCTTCAGCATAATATTACAGGGGAGAAGGGATAGGCTGATGGCCATTAGAGCATGCTGAAGGTACCTGAGTTCTGTGTATCTTTAGGTTAAAATTTGTTTCAACCGGGCGCGGTGGCTCACGCCTGTAATCCAAGCACTTTGGGAGGCAGAGGCGGGCGGATCACGAGGTCAGATCGAGGCCATCCTGGCTAACATGGTGAAACCCCGTCTCTACTAAAAATACAAAAAATTACCCAGGTGTGGTGGCGGGCGCCTGTAGTCCCAGCTACTTGGGAGGCTGAGGCAGGAGAATGGAGTGAACCCAGGAGGTGGAGCTTGCAGTGAGCCAAAATCACACCACTGCACTCCAGCCTGGGTGACAGAGTGAGATTATGTCTCCAAAAAGTTTCTTAAAAAAGCAAAACAAGTAAAAAAAAAAAAAAAAATATATATATATATATATATCGATTACATGTGGACTTGGAGCAGCCAACGCCATTGCTTCTCATTCCCAACAGCAGCCAAGGCTCCTCAAGCTGAAATATTTGGGTCGGCCACACCTTTGCACCATGGCTTCCTTTGTTCTTCCTGAAGTCTTTCCTAATTGTGCTGGCATACAGGCTTTCCAGCAGGGAATCCCCTGTTTCAGAATTTCTTCCTAGCCTGACTAAAGCCTTTGCTGGATCTTATAAATCACAAGATTTCACAGGAGATGCAGCCCTGGATCAGATACTCACTAACACCTCTTGTCTTCCCTTGAGTGCTGGGAAAGGGATGCTGGAGACTGGGAAACATTTTGCCATTTGCAGTCTTAGGAGATCTTTGTAAAGATTTCTCCCTCTGGATGGTTTTGACCAGGGCATTGCCAAATTCCATGTCCCAAGAGTCTTGGTTTCTGGATCCTCCTGAGACTTTGAGTTTCCCATGAGGCCACAGCTGCAAGGGAGGCTGAGCCAAGTGGCCGTAACAACCAGGCAGAGTAGCGGGCAGAAGCAGGGGCAGGGTGCAAGCCTCTCCTCCCCAGGAGAGGAACTTCCCTGTGCCAAGGGGAATGAAGGGACCCAGGGGATGTGTGGCAGACCCAGTGCCCTACCTCTTTTCATAGTCTAGGTTCCCCACAGACCCCTTCATCAGCTGGCTTACTGTTCACTTCTAGGTCATGACATCAGCTGTGTGATGTGGGGACAGAAATCCCTGGCATGGCCTCTATGTCATCCCTCTGCAGACAGAGGAGGACTCAGGCTTGGCCATGATGCTGGAGTCACCGTGGATATAGACCCTGGCCCATTTGACTCAAGAACCACATACATAACTGGAACCAAGAGGCTGGGTTAATCCCCTCAAGGCCCTGGCCACTTGGAAGACCCTAAGCCTCCTTCCAGGTGGCCAAGCTAAGCAAAGCCACTTGCAGCCACCCTTCCACAATGCATTCTACATCATCCAGCTATGAAAACCACCTGCCCCCATCACTTTTGCACTCATGCCTTCCCCTAAGCTCAAGGGGCCCTGGCCCAAACTTCCTTTAGAACCAGGAAGGAGGTTCTGGCCCTCTTGAAAATCATCCTTTCCAAACAGAAGGCATTTATCTTGGCAAAGCTTAAAAGACAAAAAGCCTGTAATCCCAACACTTTGGGAGGCCGAGGCAGGCAGATCATCTGAGGTCAGGAGTTCGAGACCAGCCTGGCCAACATGGTGAAACCCTGTCTGCACTAAAAATACAAAAATTAGCCAGGTGTGGTGTCAGTCACCTGTAATCCCAGCTACTTGGGAGGCTGAGACAGGAGAATCTCTTGAACCTGGGAGGTGAAGGTTGCAGTGAGCCGAGATCACACCACTGCCCTCTAGCCAAGGCAACAAAGAGTGAAACTCCATCAAAAAACAAAAACAAAAACAAAAACAAAACAAAGAGATGACAGCTGAGCTCTAGGTCCCATCCCACAGACAATACCCAGAAACCTCCTCCCCACAACTCCCACACACCTGCCTCCCAGCAGCCGGGCCTTTTCTCCATGGGATTTGCCTACAAGACTTCTCTCCTGCTTTATCTCAAGTGGGTTTGTCAGGAGAGCAATGTCACCATCCCTCCACTAAATTCATCTCAACAACATTTACTGAGTGCCAAGTGTGTCCTGAACATGGCTCAGTGTTCGCATGCACTGTCTTGATTTAACCACACATGCTTATAACCTAAGGGAGGAGCATTGCAGTATTTCATCAATATAAAGATACACATCTTGATTTTTCACATTTTCATATACCTGAAATTTAGCTGGGTCTTCTAATCACAACTGTGACATGGCTGTCCTGCCTGGTCTCATACAGACTCAGCCACAGCGGTTCATAGCGTTGTCACATCAATTAAGATTTGGGCATGGTTATTTCACATGTGGAGTATAGGTGCTATTTTAAATGTCTTCAGAAAGTTCGACTGTGATTCAGCTTTGAATTGAAAAGCTAGTGTGCACGCAAGAAGCCTGGGAACAAAGCAGCAGAATGCCTGTGTGATGTTGGTGAGACAGACACATATTCATCCCTGCAGGGAGGTCTGCAATCCAGGTTTTCTTGCAAAGCAACAACCAAGTACTTAAAAACTTAAAACAGGACTTAAAAATGGGACTTAAAAACCATCCCAGGCTGGGCACAGTGGCTCACAACTGTAATCCCACAGCTTTTGGAGGCCAAGGCAGGAGGATTACTGAAGCCCAGGAGTTCGATACCAGCCTGGACAGCATGGTGAGACCACCATTTCTACAAAAAAAAAAAAAAAAAAAAAAAAAAAAAAAACTTGAAAATTACCTGGACATGGTTACCTGTGTCTGTAGTCCCAGCTACCCAGGAGGCTGAGGTGGGAGCATCATTTGAGTCTAGGAGTTCCAGGCTGAAGAAAGCTAGGATTGTGCCATTGCATTCTAGCTTGAGCAACAATGAGACCCCATCTCAAAAAAACAAAAAACATCCCCAGGATGAGTGGACATGCTTGCAAGAAATGCTTCACTTCCTGCGCTCCTCAATCAAGGGCCACCAAATGTTTTGTGCAAAGGGCCAGGTAGGCAATATTTTTGGTTTGTAAGCTATACAGGCTCAGCTGCAACCACTTAACTCTGTCATCAGGGCCTGAAAGCAGTCATAGGATTGTAGCTGTGTTCCAACAAATCTTTATTTGCAAAAGCAAAGGAAGGACCACATTTGGCTCATGGGTGATAGTTTGTTGTCCCTTTCTCTTGATGGAACAGAAAACAATGTGTGGAAAAATGAGGGCACTGATGATTTTAAGTCAAAAGTATTACAGAAGATGAACTTTGAACTAAAAAAAGTTCTAAGAATATCTCATTTCAGTGATATTTTATGTGTGTGTACTTAAAAAAGTGATGTGTGATTAAAAAACAAAACAAGGGGACTGCCATCAGCAACGGCCCCAAAGGCAGCTGGGCTCCTTGCTGGGTTGTGTGTTCAGCAGCCCCAGCATGGTGCATCAGTTGAGCACAGCTGGGACTCCCCACAACATGCGTGTCCCAGGCTGGCATGGAGATGGAGCACTGATGTTGCTGCCGGTGGCTGCTGATGGCAGTGGCGCTGGTGCTGGGTGGCTGCTACGGGCGAGGGGGTGTCGAGGAGGAGCACGGTAGTGTACACGATGTGAGCCAGGGCTCCCACGTGGCCGCCTTTGAATGGGCCAATGTCCAGGACCAGTACCTGATTGCGATCTGCATCCTTGTGGTCAGGCTGGCCAAGATTGGTTCTACCTGTCCCACAAGGCATCACCGTGGTCCCTGAGAGCACCCCTGCTCATCGTCCTGGGCCTGGTGCTGGGCAGCATCATCTGGGTGGCCGACCACATAGCGACTTCATGTTGACGTCCCCCATCATGCAGATGCCGACTACTTCATGCCCAACCGGCTCTTCTTTGGCAATCTGGGCACCATCCTGCTGTACCAGGTCATCAGCACTGTGTGCAATGCAGCCACCACCATCCTGTTCCTCTATGGCATCTCTCTTAGCAGGCTCATGGGCAACCTGCAGATAGGGCTGCTGGACTTCCTCCTGTTCGGCAGCCTGATCACCACTGTGGACCCAGCAGCCATACTGGTTGGGTTTGAGGAAGTTCATGTCAATGAGGTCCTGTTCATCATCATCTTCAGGGAGTTGCTACTGAATGACTGTACAATGTGTTTCAATCTTTTGTGACACTGGATGATGAGAACATGATCAGCGTGGACCATGCCAAAAGTGTAGTGTCCTTTGTGGTGAGCCTGGGGGGCATGACTGTGGGGTGGTCTTTGCCTTCCTGCTGTCACTGGTGACCCACTTCACCAAGCATGTGCACATCATCTAGCCTGGTTTTGTGTTAGTCATCTCCTACCCGTCCATAGGACGTCTGAGAAGCTGTTGCTGTTGGCCATCCTGGCCATTATCTTCTGTGGCATCTGCTGTCATAAGTACATGAAGGCCAACATCTTGGAGCAGTCGGCCAACACCATGCACTACACCGTGAAGATGCTGGCCAGTGGTGTCAATACAATCTTCATATCCCTGGGCATCTCGGTCATGAACCTGCTCATCTGGACGTGGAACATGGCCTTCATCCTCCTGCACTGGCCTACACCTTCATGTACCGAGCCATGGTGTCATCCAGTCCTGACTCCTGTAGTGCTATTGGATGATGCAGCTGGAGATCATAGACCAGGTGGTCATGTCCTATAGAGGCCTGCATGGGGCCATGGCCTTCATCCTGGTCATGCTTCCGGACAGAAACAAGGTCAAGGAGAAGAACCTGTTTGTCAGCACCACCGTCATCATCTTCTTCACAGTCATTTTCCAGGGGCTGACCATCAAGTCCCTGGTGCAGTGGCTGAAGGTGAAGAGGAGTGAGCACCAGGAGCCCAAGCTCCATGAGAAGCTGCACCACCATGCTTTCAACCACATCCTCTTGGCCATCAAGGACATATCCCGGCATATCAGGCACAACTATCTCAGAGAGATGTGGTCCCACTTTGACAGGAAGTTCCTCAGTGGGGTTCTCATGAGAATGCTGGCCCAGAAGTCTCCATATGGGATCCTCAATGTCTTCCATGAGCTGAACCTGAAGGATGCCATCAGCTAAGCCACCAAAGGAGAGTGCCTAAGGTCCGTGGCCTTCATCAGCTCCCCAAGTACTGATAACGTCGTCAACATGGACTTCACGGCACGATTGTCCACCATGGTGGCCTCTGTCTCCTACCTTCTGAGGGAGAACATCAGTGCCGTCTGTCTGGACGTTCAGTCCCTGGAGCAGTGTGGCAGAGCATTCCGTATGGGGAGGACCCCGTCACGCACCACACGCTGCAGCAGTACCTGTGCAAGCCGGGGAAGGAGTACATGCATCGCTACAGCCACACCAACTGAGGACAAGAAGCGGGACCGGGAAATCTTCCACAGGTCCATGAGGAAGCACCTGGAGTCCTTCAAGTTGAGCAAGCTCAGGATCAACCAGAACAAGAAGGCAGCCAAGCTGTACAAGCCAAAGAGCGCCCAGAAGCGGTAAAACAGCAGCATCCCCAATAGGAAGCTGCCCAGGTAGAGCCCCGTGCACAATTTCACCATTCAGGAGAAAGACTTGCAAATTTCAGACACGGAGGAGGCCCCCAACTATGATGCTGAGGAGACGAGGGAGGGGGGTGGTGTCAGGGCGAGTACTGAGACCCCAGCCTCGTCGCCAGAGTGCCACCCTGGCTGTCTCCTGGGGAGATGGTGGTGTCCTCACAGAGGGCCTGCGTGCAGATCCCCCACTCTCCTGGCACTTTCCGCTGCCTGACGCCCTTGCAGCTCAGCTACAAGTCGGTGGACTCATTCCTGCAGGCAGATGGCCCCAGGGAGCGACCCCAGGCTGCCTTCCCCTAGTGCACGCACATGTGACACCGGCTCTGACATGCCCCTGACTGGACGCTTGTCCCCATGGGCCGCTCACTGAGGCCTCCGAGAAGCTCCTGGGCTCCCCCGCCCGACTCGCGCTTAGGGGTTCAGAACTCCCAAAGCTCTGCGCCTACTCCGGCAGAGCCGCACTAACGCGAACCCGCGAACCCGGGCCGGGGCCTGGGCCTGTGTGGCCATACTGTGCTGCTGAAGCTGGCATTGCTGCCACCCTTGTGCCAAGCACTGCGCACGTCCTGGGGGCGGGAGAGACGCCGCTGTGACACTAGGCCGGGAAATGCCGGTGTTCCAAGGCTTGAAGCTGGCTTCCATTGGAATCGCTGCCAGAGAAACCGAGGCCCGCACAAAATAAATTTGCAAAAGTGATGCCCCAGGCAAGACTCCAGGCCCCTCCCAGCCCTGCGCCTCTCCCTGCTGACGGTGGGGTGCGTCCAGAGTGCCAGGACTTAGGGCCTGACCCTGGAGGGTGGCAAGTGGGAGGACTAAAGAGAGATTGGTAAAGGGGGGAGAAAACGGGGCGAGCAAGAGGGAGAGAAGGTTTTGTGAAAAGACAGTGGGGAGAAAAGACAGTGGGGAGGAAAGTTTTTGGGTAGATGGAGCGGGAAAAGAGGGTGGCGAGCAGGAGGCATAAAAGACGGTGGGGAGAAGAGTGGGGGAAAAGGTTTTGGGTAGATGGAGGGGGGAAGGTGATAAGCAGGAGGTGGGAAGGAGGGTTGGGAAAACGACGATGGAAAAATAGTTTTGGGGTAGATGGAGGGTGAAAAAAGGGTGGCATGTGGGAGAGGGGACAGGAGTGGGGAAGAAGAGGGTGGTGAGCAGGAGCAGGGAGAAGGCTTTGTGAAAAGATGGCGAGGGGGGAAAGACAGTGAGGAAAAAATGTTTTTGGGTAGATGGAGAGGGAAAAGAGGGTGGAGAGCAGCAGGGGTCAAAAGAGAGTGGTGAGTGAGGGAGACAAGGTTTTCCGAAAAGACCGTGGGGGAAAATGTTTTTGGGTAGCTGGATGGGGAAAGGAGGGTGACAAGTGGGAGAAGGAAAAAGAGGGTGGCGAGCGGGAGGGAGAGAAGGTTTTGCGAAAAGACAGAGGGCAGAAAAGAAAGACGGTGCAGAAAGAAAAACGGTGGGTAAAAAGCTTTTGGGTGGATGGAGGGGGGAAAAGAAGGTGGCAAGTGGGAGGAGAAAAGAGGGTGGCGAGAGGGAGGTAGGAAAGAGGATTGGGAAAAAGACGATGGGGAGAATAGTTTTGGGGTAGATGGAGGGCAAAAAGAGGGTGGCAAGCAGGATAGGGGAAAGAAGAGGGCAAGCGGGAAGGCGAAAGGGCTTTGTGAAAAGACGGTAGTGTTGTCTTATGTGGCTTTACACATATAAAATATGTTTCTGTTCCTTTCCTTCTGAAAATTTTTAAGTAGTCACAGTAAGTCTACTCGTACTATAAGAAATGAATCTGGTGGGGGGCACTTGTAATCCCAGCACTTTGGGAGGCCAAGGCAGGTGGATCACCTGAAGCCAGAAGTTCGAGACCAGCTTGGCCAACATGGTAAAATCCCATCTCTACTAAAAATACAGAAAGTAGCCAAGCATGGTGGTGGGCACCTGCAATCCCAGCTTCTTGGAAGGCAGAGGCAGGAGAATCACTTGAACTTGCCAGGCAGAGATTGCAGTGAACCGAGATTGTACCACTGCACTCCAGCCTGGGAGACAGAGCAAGACTCTGTCTCAAAGAAAGAAAGGGAGAGAGAGAGAGAGAGAGAGAGAGAGAGAGAGAGAGAGAGAAAGGAAGGAAGAAGAAAATGAAAAAAGAAAGAAATGATTCTAAGTTACTGTTTTTAACTGCTGCAGAGTATTCTGTGGTAGGAACATACAATAGTTCATGTAGTTATTCTCCCAATGATGGACCTTTAGATCATTGCCAATATCTCACTGCTACCAGCAATGTTGCTAAGATAATCTTGACTATACTTTCTTGCACACACATGCAAATGTTTTGGTTTTAATAGATATGTCAGATGCCCTCCAAATTGACTGCACTAATATGCACTCCCTCTGGTGGGACATGAGGGTACCCATTTGCCCAACTCCGGCTAACATTTGTTATCAAAGTTAAAAATACTTGCCAATCTAATCAGTAAAAATAGCATCTCAATGCCCTTTTATTTGTATTTCCTTGATAAATGGTGAGATCGAGCATTTTTTCTTTCTTAGCAATTTTAATTTCCTTGAATAGTATTTTCATATGAATTGCCTATTTGGTATTCATTTGATTTTTTTCTTATTGCCCATTTATTATGAATACTCATTTGTTTGGACTTTATTATCTTTGTGGGGTTATTTTGTTTTGGTTTGGTTTTTTGAGACAGCCTTGCCCTGTCACCCAGGCTGGAGTACAATGGCATGATCTCAGCTCACTGCAACCTCCGACTCCCAAGTTCAAGTGATTCTCCTGCCTCAGCCTCCAAAGTAGCTGGGATTACAGGTGCCCACCAAGAAGCCCGGCTAATTTTTGTACTTTTAGTAGAGACAGGGTTTCACCATGTTGGCCAGGCTGGTCTTGAACTCCTGACCTCAAGTGATCCACCCTCCTCAGCCTCCCAAAGTGCTGGGATTATAGGCGTGAGCCACCATGCCCGGCCTATCTTTGTGTTTTCTATTGATTATGCTGTTTCTCTTTTTGTCCCTGTTCTTGCTTTCTGTTGGGTTGATTGAAATTTCTTTGTTCCATCTTATTTCCTTTACTGGTTTGAAATTTATACATTTCATTGTTATTTTTCTAATACTTTTAATTTTTTATATCCATATATAATGTTGCCTAACAAAATCTAAAGGTAAACAGTACATATAGACTCTTCCCAAACAAGATGAGTGTTCACTTCCTCCCGCTGTTTTCCTTTTCCCCAACTCTCCTGTTGATATAATCCAGAATTCTAATTCTAAATTGTTATTTTAAGCATCCATGGCAATCAATACTTTAGTCTTAAATAATAGCATTGGCTGATTACTTAGAGAATTGTTACTTTTTTCACACTGCTTCTTCCTCTGGATTCATGTCATTTCTTGCAGGAGGACTTCTTAAGTAGTTCTTTTCAACAGAATCTGTTGCTGGCAAACTTTCTTAAATCTTGAATGTTCAAGGTGAGGGCTTAGAGCAGGCCCGCTGCCCCCGAGTCCAGGGTGAGGGCTCAGAGCAGGTCCACTGGCCTCACAGTCCAGGGTGAGGGCTCAGAGCAAGCCCACTGCCCCCGAGTTCAGGGTGAAGGCTCAGAGCAGGTCCACTGGCCCCAAAGTCCAGGGTGAGGGCATAGAGCAGGCCCACTGCCCCTGCAGCTCAGGGTGAGGGGCTCAGAGCAGGCCCACTGCTCCCCCAGTCCAGGGAGAGGGCTCAGAGCAGGCCCACTGCTCTCCCAACACTCAGCTTTTCTCCCAACAGGAATCATAGAAAACTCAGAGGCTAGTGAAAGGTTAAAGCAGGTGGTCCACACCAGCTGCAGAGTCAAAAAGAAAATACACGTCTGCTGCCATTTAGAGTGAGGACACAAACTCAGGCAAGACTGTTTTTCACACGATGATCCATGGGTGGGGCCTTGCTTGGCCCCCCCCCCCCCCACACACACACACAGCTGCTGACCTCTGAATACAAAACAATTTTTTTGTTTCAGGACCGGGCGCAGTGGCTCACGCCTGTCATGCCAGCACTTTGGGAGGCCAAGAGGAACGGATCACTTGAGGTCAGGAGTTTGAGACCAGCCTGGCCAACATGGCGAAACCCTGTCTCTGCTTAAAATACAAAAATTAGCCGGGCATGGTGGTGGGCGCCTGTAATCCCAGCCACTTGGGAGGCTGAGACACAAGAATCACTTGAACCCAGGAGGCAGAGGTTAGAGTGAGCCGAGATCGCACCAGTACACTCCAGCTTGGGGGACACAGAAAGACTCCGTCTCAAATAAAAATAAAAATAAAAATAAACATGCTTTAGGGGACTTGGATGAAATTGAAAATGTCCTTTTTGACTTTGAACAGATCAGATTTGGGTGATTTCTTAAGAAATCTTTGAAGCTTTAAAGTTGTGGTAAAAATAAAAATCCATCTTCCTTTTCCTGCATAGGTTATTCAGAATAGGCTGTTTTGATAAGAAAGGCTCCCCAGATTTCCAGAGGGAAGGGTCCAAGCTGCCAGTGTTCACCCAGCACCAGGACTCATGCCCTGCCCCCAGGAGACCTCCCCAGCTCTCCAACCCTCAACTCCGTGCTGACCTGGTGGGGCTGGAAGCCAGGGTTCCAGGGTTCCTGAGGGGCCAAGGCCTCCCCGCAGGTCCTCGCCTGCCTACTAACATCCACCTCCAATGGACCCAGTCTGCCCCAGATCCCCCCAGCCCAGGTAGAAAGGAGCCCCGGGTCCTCACTGGCTCCCTCGGTGGCCTTCTCGGTGCGGTGGGCCAGGCCCTCGGCAGCCAGCTTCCCCAGGCCTCCCAGCATCATGTGGCAGCAGATGGTGGCCAACTAGGATGCTGAGGACTGGCCCAATGTGCCTTTAGAGATGCCTCTGGTGCTCGTCTGGGCTCTGGGGCAACAAGCCCTCGCCCCAGCCCAGTAGGAGGCTGGACAGGTGAGTCAGTGAGGACGGTAGCAGGAAAGGGGCTGGGTGGAGCCACCCCGGCACTGGGGTGGCAGCATCGCCTGACAGCATGAGACTTCTGTAACCCTGTCCTAGGGACCCCGTGAAGGATAGGGGCAGGGAGCAGGGCTGAGGCTGGACAGGAGAGATCTGGACATGCCCCTTCCTTGAGGCAGAGGGCCTGAGTGCCAACCCCCCTGAGACCCAAGCTTCCCAAGCCTGGGCACTGATATGTACCCGGAGACAAGACCTAAGAATCTAAGTCTGCTGCTCAAGGTCCCCAGTGTGGCCCAGTCAGGGGTTTGGGGGTTCTACGGGCCTGGAGACCTGGGCAGTCCTTTGGGTCACAAACACAAGTGGAGTGAGGGTGGCTGCCCTCCCCATTCCTGGAGACCCGGGCAGTCCTTTGGGTCACAAACACAAGTGGAGTGAGGGTGGCTGCCCTCCCCATTCCTGGAGACCCTGGCTCTGCAGAGCAGTTTGCGGCCTCCATGGGACAGGTGGGGCATTCACGGTGGTGCCTTGACCGAGGCAGAAGGGGGCACAGCACTGAGCAGAAGCATAGTCACCTGGCGCCACTCAGCTGATGCTCACTCACCCAAGAGGCTCTGTGAGGTCAGCGGTGCCCTCCTATCCCCTGGCAGTCCTGGAGGAGTAGACAGAGGCCTCCACCACCACTCAGGGAGATGCTTCTGGCCTTACCTAGAATCCCCTAGAAAGCAGCTTCCCTGGCTCCTGGCGCATCACATGAGGAGTGGCAGGGCTGCTCCCTAGTTACTCATGATGGACAGACATGCCTCAAGCCACCTGCCATATGCTGCTTTCCTTAGTCACCAGCCCAACCTGAGCCTCCGTTTCCTCATCTGTAAAATGGGCATAGTGTGCCTTCTTGGCTGTGTCCCTAATCATCCCTGAGACAAAGCATGCAAGCTCCTGGTAAACACCTGTTCCCTCCACTCATCACTGAGGTGCCCTTTGGCAGTGAGCCAACCTGGTGGGGTGGGCCAAGGAGTGACTGGGACATGAGGTTGCCTTGGAGCCAGAGGGCTGGGGAATGTGACTTCCACTGGCCAGGAGCCAAGGAGAGGTCTTCCCATGCTCCTACTTCTGGGGTGCAGGCCTGGGGCAGTGGTCTGATGCCCTCTCCCCAATGCAGGCTCCCGGAGCTGCTCTACTGGATATGTCAGGGCCTGATTAGTTTACTGGACTGTGGGCCCTCCCAGCCTGGGACTCGGGAGCTGAGACCCTCTTGCATTCCTGCATGGTGTTTGGGGGCTCCAGGGCTATGGCCAGTCCCCCTAGGGTGGGCAGTGGGTACCATGGGCAGCAGGACCTCTGGGTCTCAAGGCCACGGCCCCACACATGCCATTGCTGTCTCCTTTGGGCAGGGGTGATTCGGGGCTTCAACAATTTAGAGGGGCCTCTTTATGAAAAAGAATACAGTAATATGATTCTTGCACATTTTTCATTTATATACGTATGAACCTGTGGACCCAGAAGGGGCTGTGAAAGTGGGGGGCCTGGAGTTCAGGCAGGTCCAGATGACCCTGTCCTCCTCTTGTAACAGCCAGAGTCCAGGATGTTTTGCCCAGGGCATTGAGCTGGCACTGCAGAGGGTTGGGTGCTGGGGGAGGGACACCTGGGACATGGCTGGTTGGAATTGGGCTAAGAAATCTCAGGGATGCTCCCTGGATCCGTCAAAGCCCCTTCCCTGTTTCTTTTGAGGCTCTATGTCCCCCACCCCCACAGGGGTCCTTTCTATGCCTGTTCCCCTGACAAGTGTCATCTGCCTGCTCTAGAATGGCTTCCAGACCCCACGGACTCCCTCCTCATGAGCTCCCACCCTAGGGTACTCTGCACCAGTCCCCTCTCTCAGGAGCTCACCAACCCCAGACAGCCTGTTGTCAGAGCTCAGCCACACAGCAGGACACTGGCCCACTGCCCAGCCCAGAGCCAGGCCCACCACAGCCTCTGGGGACAACTGCCCTTCCCTCCACCCCCTCTACTGGTCCCCTGCCCATGAGACCCTGCCCTGCTTTAATGCAATGCCTTGGCGTGAGCACTGTGATTCTAATGACAACACACCATGGCCCTAGACTTCCTGGGTAAGGCTGGGTCCAGACACAGATCCCAAACGCCTGCTGGGGAGAAGGCAAGAGGCCCGGGGAGGCCCAGGACCAGACAGGGGCCCCAGGCCCTGGTGCCCTCCCACTTGGCTTTCTAGCTGCTGCTGTGACCAGATCCCCGCCCACCCAGCCCAGCCCATGGACCCCAGCAGGCCCTCTGTGTCCCACCTCTGGGGCAGACACCTAAGAGCGGGACCCTTTTCTAGCCAAAGAACCTGAGACAGCCCAAAATCCTCCTTACCATGATGGATCCTGATCTGAGGGGCTGGGTTCAGGTGACTCCTGCAGGGAACTTCACCTGCCTCGATGAGGTCAAGGGTGAATCAGGTGGTGCCTGCCCTCCACCACCCCATCATGGAAGAGGTCCAGCCCACAGTGGGCCCAAGAGGGCCGCCCTTGGACCTAGGGACCCAAGTCAGCATATCCTGAGTCAGAAGGTCAAGTCCAGCCTCCCCTCAGGCAGGGAGAATCTGGCTTTGATAGGAGCAGATAAATTCTCAAGGTGGAATTTGCCCAACTAGTTTGGCAAGGGACTAGCTGGCTGAATCATTGAGTCAAGGACAGCCAATGTTTCCAATAGCAATTTGCCAACTTAGCAATTACCAATTCTGAAAAACAATCTGTTTATTTGAAATACTTAAATACTTAGGCTGTCTCATGTCTGAAGCATGATGATGCCTTGCGTGATTTAAAGGACAGACGTCACGAATGCCAAGAGTTTTGTGGCGGTCCATCCTGCCAGCGTCTTCTCCCACTTTTGTTCTGTGGATTTGAGCTCACAGTTTGTGCTGTGCCCACCGCCTGCCCACCCTAACGAGACTCCTGGAGACTTGCCTGGCCAGTCACCAGAGGAAGAGGGGCCCAGCAGCACGCCAGCATTCACCCACCTGTGGGTATCAGTCAGGCTCCTGGTGGAAGCCAGAGGACATATTCGAATGGGTACTTGAGGAAAGGGGCTGTTCACAGAAGTGTGGACCGAGTTAAGAGAACCAGTAAGAGATGAGGAATGTCCTGGACCAGCAAGAGTGGGAGCTGTTATCTCCCTGGGTCTAGAGGGACAGGAAAGGTGTCCACAGATCCCAAAGAGGGCTGTGGCTGTAGAGGAGGATCATCAGGAGCTGCAGCCATCAGTAGAAAGATGTGGCCACTGCCAAACCAGCAAGGAAGAACCTGAGCGAATAACCACCTCTCCTCTCTCTCTCTCTCCCACCTCCTATGACGTCCTCCACTGTGTGAATTCCACTAGGGCCAGACAGTGAGGCACCCTGCTGATGCAGTCCAAGAAGGAGCGGGCAGAGAGGAGCCAGTGGGTATGAAGGGGAAACAGATAAACAGAGAATTCCAGCTCACTCTGCGGGATTTCTGGGTCTGATAGAAACATGGCATTATTATTATTAATTATTATTATTATTACTATTATTATTATTTTGAGATGGAGTTTCGCTCTTGTTACCCAGGCTGAAGTGCAGTAGCATGATCTCGACTCACTGCAACTTCTGCCTCCCAGGTTCAAGAGATCCTCCTGCCTCAGCCTCCCAAGTAGCTGGGATTACAGGGACATGCCACCATGCCTTGCTGATTTTTGTATTTTTGGTAGAGATGGGGTTTCACCATGTTGGCCAGGCTGGTCTCGAACTCCTGACCTCAGGTGATCAGCCCGCCTCGGCCTCCCAAAGGGCTGGGATTACAGGCGTGAGCCACTGTGCCCGGCCTGCAGCAGTTTAATTTTACAGTGTCCCTTTTCTCCTTCTGGAAACTATGTGGAGCAACGACAAGACTGAGGAGGGGGAGGAGGAGGAGGAAGAAAAAGCCCATCATCAACACACACATCAAACTCAACTTCAGAGAAGTTAGGAAGCTGGGAAGCCATGTAAACCCAAAAGCAGGTGACACCAGCAGAACCAACACAGGAAGCCAGGGAAGTGCAGAAGAACAGGGCATGGGGGGGCCACCCAGGGGAGAATCTTCACTGTTGCCAGCAACACACACTCCCAGCAGGAGAGGACCCTCAGAGTGAGAACGCAGAGCTGGAGAAGTGAAGAAAGAAGGAGCAGGTGGTGCCCAGGGAAGTCCAGGGGTGCGGGATCTGAGAGCGCCCCTTCCCAAGAGTGGCGGGAACACTTGGGAAGGCAGGGCTGAGTCCCTGGAGGCTGTATCCAGGAAAGGAGGCCGGCAGTAGAAACTTCCTGAAGCCGAGTGGGTTCTGAGAGGCAGAGGGGCAGTGGTACAGAGGTGAGGCTGATGCTTCTGTGCAGGAAGGGCAGGCTCCTGAGGAAGGGAGCCCCGAATGCTCTCCACTAGATTCCCAGGGAGCCCCACTCCCTCCACAGGGACCTTGCACTGACATCTGGGAAATGCCATTCATACTGGAACCTCCGGCACACTGCCATGAATGTGAGGGTTTTGTGACTGATGGGGTAGGTTTCTCTCTTCCAACTCAATAGTATAATTTCCATTTATTCCTCCCCCAGCCTCCCTGAACATTCACCTCTTAGATAGCCACAGTACGGTGATCAGAACCAGGAAATCCACATTCTCATATTTAACTATATTAAAATTATTTCACAAAATAACCAATTTTATTAATTTAATACATTTAAATAATGTTTAAATATATTTAAATAATTTAACTAATTTAAAATGAACATATTCGCTAAACAAAAGACCTTATTGGAGTTTCACCACTTTTTCCACTAATGTCCTTTTTCTGTTCCCAAATTCCACCCAGGATCACGCTGCATTTAGTTATTTCTTAGTCTCTCGCCGTTTTGTAGGACTGCAATAACAGTTCCTCAGTCTTTCCTTATCTTTCATAACCGTGACATTTTGAAACAGTACTGATCACTATTTGTCAAATGTTCTTCGATTTGGGATTGTCTGATGTATTTCCATGATTGGACTGAAGTTACACACTTTTGGCAATTACAGCACAAAAATGATGTGGAATCCTTCCCAGTGCATTCCATCAGAGTTATGGCATTGATAGTGCTTCTTACTGATGATGTTGAACTTGTTCATTTGGTTCAGGTTTCTGCTGGTTTTCTCCGTTGTAAAGTTACTATCTTTCCCCCTCATACGGGGAAAGATCTTAGGAGAAATACATGGAGACTATGAAAATTTTGTATTTTCTCAAACTTTAAAATTTTTTTTCAGGCCAGGCGCAGTGGCTCACGCCTGTAATCCTAACACTTTGGGAAGCCGAGGCGGGTGGATCACCTGAGGTCAGGAGTTCAAAACCAGCCTGATCAACATGGAGAAACCCCATACCTACTAAAAATACAAAATTAGCCAGGCGTGGTGGTGCATGCCTGTAATCCCAGCTACTCAGGAGGCTGAGGAAAGAGAATCGCTTGAACCCAGGAGGAGAGGCTGCAGTGAGCTGAGATCGTGCCATTGCACTCCAGCCTGGATAACAAGAGCGAAGGTCCATCCCAAAAAAAAAAAAAAAAAAAAAAAAAAGACCAGGCACAATGGCTCACACCTGTAATCCCAGCACTTTGGGAGGCCGAGGTGGGTGGATCACCTGAGGTCAGGAGTTGGAGACCAGCCTGATCAATATGGAGAAACCCCATCTCTACTAAAATAAAATACAAAATTAGCTGGGCATGGTGGTGCGTGCCTGTAATCCCAGCTACTCGGGAGGCTGAGGCAGTAGAATTGCTTGAACACGGGAGGTGGAGGTTGCCATGAGCCGAGATCCTGCCATTGCACTCCAGCCTGGCCAACAAAAGCAAAACTCCATCTCAAAAAAAAAAAAAAAAACAAAAAAAACTATTTTGACAGCTGGGCATGGTGGCTTACACCTGTAATCCCAGCACTTTGGGAGGCCAAGGCAGGTGGATCACCTGAGGTCAGGAGTTCGAGACCAGCCTGGCAAACATGGTGAAACCCTGTCTCTACTAAACATACAAAAATTAGTTGGGCATGGTGGCATGTGCCTGTAAGTTCCAGCTACTTGGGAGGCTGAGGCAGGAGAATCGCTTGAACCCAGAAGGCAGAGGTTGCAGTGAGCCGAGACGGCGCCATTGCACTCCAGCCTGGGCAGCAGAGTGAGGGATCTCAAAAAATTATAATAAAAAAATAATAATTCTATTTTGAATTGTGGTAAAACACACATAAAATTTACTACCTTAACCACTTCTAAGTGACAGTTGGAACAGGGTCAAGGAGAGCCCTTGGGTTGGGTAATGTAGGGTATATTCACATTGCCATGCAACCAATCTCCGGAACTTTCTCATCTGACAAAACCAAAACTCTATATCCACTAAGCAACTTCCCATTTTCTCCCTTCCCCATGTCCCTGGCAACCCCCGTTCTACTTTCTGTTTCTATTAGTTTGCTTACTCAGTCTGGACGCTTCACATAAGTGAAAGAACACAGTATTTGTCTTTTTCTAACTGGCTTATTTCACTTAGCATAATGTCCTCAATGTTCATCCATGTTGTAGCATGTGTTAGAATTTCCTTCCTTTTTAAGGCTGAAGAATATTTTATTGTATGTATATACCACATTTTATCAATTCATCTGCCTATGGACAATTCGGCTGCATCCATCTTTTGACGAGTGTGAATACCACTGCTATAAATATCAGTGTACACATATTTCTATGAGACCTTGCTTTCAATTATTTTGGCTATATACCCAGAAGTGATATTGCCGGATCATTTGGTAATTCTATTTTTAATTTTTTGAGAAACTGCCTGTCCTGTGCTGAGCAGGTCTATATAAACCTACCCGCAAAGGCCAAGGAACCTGAGATACCAAAGAAAGAGGCTGACAAATCCAGTTTCTCAGAAAGAAACATTTAATAGGCGTTTATGAACAGAAGGCAAGTCAGGGATGGCACCAAGATAAGATGGTGGATCCCTGTGCCATTACCCCCACCCCCCCGACCCAGGGCTTCTATAGCATAGGGGAAGGGTAATGCGGGCTTCAGCAGGGATGTGTATGGCCAGACACGGTGGCTCACGCCTGCAATCCCAGCTCTTTGGGAGGCCAAGGTGGGCGGATCACCTGAGGTCAGGAGTTCCAGACCAGCCTGGCCAACACGGTAAAACCTCGTCTCTACTAAAAATACAAAAATTAGCCAGGCGTGGTGGCAGGCGCCTGTAATCCCAGTTACTCGGGAAGCTGAGGCAGGAGAATCGCTTGAACCCAGGAGGTGAAGTTTGCAGTGAGCTGAGATTGTGCCACTGAAGTCCAACCTGGGAGACAGAGTGAGACTCAGTCTCAAAAAATAAAAAATAAAAAATAATTTTGTTAAAAAGATAAAATAGAAATCGTAGATGAATTCTTGGAACTGGGATTAATCAGAATATGGCAGATTAGCATCCAAAATGGAATTGCTTTATTCTCATTCAAGGTTTCCCTCATTCTTCACTCTCCCCATGCTGGTCACCTTGCTGTTTGTTCCTCAAACACATATGAAATGCGTTTCTGTCTTGGCAGTCATCCTGCTACCTGTAATGTCAGCACTGCTTTCTGTTGTCCCTTCAGTCAGGTCACTGTTCAAATAGCTCTCTAGACAGGCTCTTCCTTATCATTCTACTTAAAATAGCCCCCAATCACTCTGTGTCCCTTTAGCCTGCTTCCTCTTCCTGCTATTTCATACTACCTGAAAAAATACTTGTTTGAATTTCCTAGAACATAAGCTCATAAAAGCAAGAACTGTGCTCCACCTCTCCTCTCCTCTACCCCAGCACTCAGAAGAGCAACAGAGTCAGCATCCAGTGAGTGTTCATGAATCAAGTCACTGCTTGGCAGAATTCAGCACTGGGACCACAGCCTCGCCTATCTTCAACTCTTTCTCCTTCTGCTTTTCCTCCTCCCACTCTAGTAGCCACTCTTCTGGGGGCTTGTCCCTTAAATGATTAGTCCTTACCGACCTATTTTCTGTCCACTTTATCTGTTTTTGAGAGAGGGTCTCACTCTGTTGCCCAGGCTGGAGTGCAGTGGCATGAATATGGGTCACTGCAGCCTCCACCTCCTGGGCTCAAGTGAACTTCCTGCCTCAGCCTGCCATGCCATGTAACTGGGGCCACAGGCATGTGCCACCATGTCCAGCTAATTTCTTGATTTTTTTTTGGTAGAAATGGGTCTCACTTTATTGCCCAGTCTGGTCTTGAAGTCCTACACTCGAGCAGTCCTCTCAACTTGGCCTCCCAAAGTGCTGGGATTACAGGCATGAGATACTGTACCTGGTCTTATTTTTTCTTTTCTTAAGATACAGGGTCTCACCATCTGGCCCAGGCTGGACTCAAACTGCTGAGCTCAAGTAATTCCCCCATCTCAGCCTCCAAAGTAGTTAGGACTAAAGGCATGAAAACACCATGCTTGGCTTGTCCCATTTCATTCTACACACTTTCTCGGTATTTAAACAGCTGCTGTTGCTCTTCATTCTGTAGCTCTATATCAGATTCATGCTCTAGTCCTGTATATCCAAATGATGACTACAGGCTGCCGGCTCTGCTCTTTCAAAGGCACAATGAGCGTAGCCCGTCTACAAAACTCTCCCTTTTCCAATCCAGCTTTCCCTCCTGCATCACCTATCTCTCTACATCTGGAACCATCGGCAGCTGCCTTCATAAGGCACCTCGGTCTGGCATTCGGAAAACAACCCTGTCTTGCCAGAGCCGCTTGGTCTTGGGTAGCAAAAGCTGTATGCGATCTAAATCAAGCTTTCAATCATGAGAAATCACATTCCTTCTTTTCCCTTTGTAATATACTCATGTGTTGTTTTTTTTTTTCCTTTCTCAATCAGCAAATTGTACCACCATCTTATTCTGAGATGCTCCTTTTTAAAAGCTGTAGATCACATTAATGGAAGTGTTTACTGCTGGGAATATTTTCCATGTGCAGTGATCTGTAACCCTCTTTTTCTTTTCTTTGAGACCGAGTCTCGCTCTGTTGCCCAGGCTGGAGTGCAGTGGCACAATCTCTGCTCACTGCAAGCTTTGCCTCCTGAGTTCATGCCATTCTCCTGCCTCAGCCTCCCAAGTAGCTGGGACTACAGGTGCCCGCCACCATGCCCAGCTAATTTTTTTTTTTGAGATGGAGTCTCGTTTGGTCGCCCAGGCTGGAGTGCAGTGGTGCAATCTCAGCTCATTGCAAGCTCCGCCTCCTGGGTTCACGCCATTCTCCTGCCTCAGCCTTCCAAGTAGCTGGGACTACAGGTGCCCGCCACCACACCTGGCTAAGTTTTTTTTTTGTATTTTTAGCAGAGACGGGGTTTCACCATGTTAGCCAGAATGGTATTGATCTCCTGACCTTGTGATCCGCCTGCCTCGGCCTCCCAAAGTGCTGGGATTACAGGTGTGAGCCACCACGCCCGGCCATGCCCAGCTAATTTTTTGTATTTTTTAGTAGAGATGGGGTTTCATGATGTTAGCCAGGATGGTCTCAATCTCCTGACCTGGTGATCAGTCCGCCTAGGCCTCCCAAAGTGCTAGGATTACAGGTGTGAGCCGCTGCGCCCAGCCAATCTGTAACCCTCTTATCTCAACTAACTGACATTATTACTTCACATCCAGTTCAATTTATAAATTAAGAGAGGTGCCATGGGCTGGGCACGGTGGCTCACGCTTGTAATCCCAACACTTTGGGAGGCCGAGGCAGGTGGATCACGAGGTCAGGAGTTCGAGACCATCCTGGCTAACATGGTGAAACCACGTCTCTACTAAAAATACAAAAAATTAGCCAGGTGTGGTGGCAGGCACCTGTAGTCCCAGCTACCTGAGAGGCTGAGGCAGGAGAATGGTGTGAATCCGGGAGGCAGAGCTTGCAGTGAGCAGATATCACGCCACTGCACTCCAGCTGGGGTGACAGAGCAAAACATCGTCCAAAAAAAATAAAAATAAAAATGAAAAAGAGGTGCCATGTGTACAAAAATCAATGCATATTTATGAACTTTATTTCAAATATGTTTTCACACATTTTATCTAAATACATAATACAGAAGCCTGTGTGACTTGGGCAATGTGGCCAGGAGGGCCTGAGACTAACAAATCCACCTTGGCAGAAGGACATAAAATACGTCTTATGGTCAGAAAAATCAACATTTTGTGTATTTACTTAGTTTACGAAAAGTACTGAAAATGCTAATATTAGCTGAATTTGTGATTTCCTTTTGAAATTCTGAGTTATCCTTATTTTTCCCATTTTGTTTTTGCACCAAGGAGACTGCAGTCAAATAAAACAGATACTACACACACTCGTCGGGGCAGCCGTACTGCAGAAGCACGTTGATGCACTCCTGGCTGGAGGCCTGCCGGGCGTAGGTCAGCGCTGTGTTCCCGTGGGCATCTCGGGCCATGACGTCCACCCCGTACCAGATCAGGAGCTGCGCCAGGACCACATTCCCCTTGCGGCAGGCCAGATGGAGCGCCGTGCAGCCGTCTCCCTCCCCACAGGTCTCGTTCACCTCCTCACAGGAGCCATGTGCCAGCAGCAGGATGGCTGTCTGCAGGTCCTCATCAGCGGTGGCCCGCAGCAGCTGCTGGCCCAGGGACAGCTCAGTGCAGGGTAGTGGGGCCAGAAAGAGCTTCTCCTCATATTTGGAACGGATCCACCGTTCCTTCTCTTCCCTCGTGGACTTTTCTGAGGGTTTTGTCTGCCCCTGGCTGCTCCCTTCCCAGATGCTGTTGGCTAGGTCATTGACAATAGATGACATAACCTTCCTGAGCTCAACTGGCCAGTCATCCAGCTCCAGAGATCGCACACGGGAAAGGTGGGGGCCAAGACTGCGGTGGATACCTGAGCATTCAATACACATGAGGACTCCCAAGTTCAAACTGGCCCACTTAGGATTCTGGGTCTCACAGTCCACACAGTGGGCGTTCCCACGCATGTTTTGGATCGACTGCAGGGCCATGGCCTCGCTCTGGCTGGTCAGCTGGGACTTGCTTTTACTGCTCTCGCATGACTGCAGGCTGGCCAGGATCTGGCTCTGGATGGCTTGGACCCAGGCATCCCGCTCCTCATACGTCGTGGCTTCAAAGTGCCACGTTTGGCCAGTGGCAGACACAATCATAAAGTTGTTGGTGCTTTTCTTCTTTAGGTGTTTCTTTTTATTAGCATGAGGAGAGGGGGGCGGGTTGAGCTTGGGGCTGGTGGTGCTGGAGATACTGGGGCTGAAGCATATGGAGTCACCCAGCCCGGTGTCCATGTCCTTGGATAGGCCATTGCTTTTAGAGCTGGAGATGGGTGTGCAGGCCGATGTGGCTAGGGATGGCCACTTTCCTGGGACTTTGATGGTAGATGTCTGAAGGTCAATCTCTTTTTTATGAATATTCTTCATATAATCACCTAAGCTTGAATAATAGGTGAGCATGCCATTGGAACACAGGGTGACGTATTTCTTTTTCCATGTCTTCAGCCATTTCCCACTTCGCTTTAAGAGCATGCCCTGTTTAATGGGGATGGCTCTACCGCTCCCGATGGTGTCAGCATGATTCTCCGGGGCTTTCCTCTCTTTGTCTGGGTCACTCCCTTTCTCAGATGTAAACAGGTTGGACCAGCGCATGGACCGCTTGCAAACGGGCGTGGGTGTGTTGGCAGTGGGAGGAACACTGAACTGAGGGTCCTCCTGGCTGGTGCTGGGAGTCGATGGAATGGAGGAGGAATAGTTATTTAAACTCCCACCTCCATTTCTTTTCTTCATAATGTGCACGGTGGAAACCTGTGTGGAACAGGAGGAGGAATGGCTTCAAAAATTGGGTAGTGGCTTGCAGGGTCCTATAGACAGCTCACAATTACCTTTTAAAAAGATACATTTTCTGGGCCAGGCATGGTGGCTCACACCTGTAATCACAGCACTTTGGGAGGCCAAGGTGGGTGGATCACGAGGTCAGGAGTTCAAGACCATCCTGGCCAACATGGTGAAACCCTGTCTTTACAAAAAAAAAAAAGAAAAAAAAATTAGCTGGGCATGGTGGCACATGCCTGTAATTCCAGTTACTCAGGAGGCTGAGGCAGGAGAATTGCTTGAACAGGGACCTGGGAGGCAGAGCCTGCAGTGAACCAAGATCGCGCGATTGCACTCCAGCCTGGGCTACAGAAAGAGAGTCCATAAAAAAAAAAAAAAAAAAAAAGATACATCTTCTGTTGTTTGGATAGTATATTTACTCATACTAGCTCACTAACTAAACAGAGCTGCAGATCAGTTCTTACTCCAGCACATTCTTTTTACAACACTTAAGATGACTAAATGCAACATGAAATGGGGAAGATTTAAAAAAAGATGGCTTTGACTTCAGCATGAAACAGATACAAGTGTATGATGAAAATACAACCTCAATAAAAGTGCCACTTACCGCAAATGAGTGTAACTGTTCATCAGGTATGCTCAAAGTTCTATCTGCATCTCTATAAAATAAGAAAGCGCATTACTTCAAAAACTGTTAATATCTTAGTATAATATTTGTTTAGTAAAATACTGCCTCCTGTGTGCTTTGGTGTTTACTTTACCAAAGCAGTTTTTATGAATTCTTCTATTGGATCCTGACTTGCAGAGGGTTTCCTGACTTCTTCTTTCTCAGCACATCATGGCCTGTATCGTGAAGTCTTTTATATGATAACCAGTCAGAAATGCCCGTGAGTATTGACTCTCCCTAACAGGCCATGGCAATAAACCAAACATATTTTCACTCTTCTAACCACACATTGAAACACAAGAATGTTCTACAAAGCAGTAGTAGTAAACTTTAATAAATGTAAATGTGATTCAGATTTCCTAGCTTCCTTTCTCTTTAGTTCTCTGTAGTATACTCTCATGATGTATTTATGTACTTTCTGTTGTTTGAATGACAAACTCATCTGCCTTTTTAAGAGGCCAGTCTTTGATGAACTTTAAACTTTGTAAAACTAATGCATTGTGCCTGTGTATAAACCAGTGGTTCTCCAAATGTGCTGTGTGGACCTCTCGGGATCCCGAAGACCCCTTCCAGAAGGCCTAAGAGGTCATAACTGTTCTTTTTTTTTTTTTTTTTTTTTTTTTTGAGACCAAGTTTTACTCTTGTTGCCCAGGCTGGAGTGCAATGGTGTGATCTCGGCTCATGGCAACCTTCGCCTCCCAGGTTCAAGTGATTCTCCTACCCCAGCCTCCCAAGTAGCAGGGATTACAGGCACCTGCCACCACTCCTGGCTAAGTTTTGTATTTTTAGTAGAGATGTGGTTTCACCATGTTGGCCAGGCTGGTCTTGAACTCCTAACCTCAGGTAATCCGCTTGCCTCAGCCTCCCAAAGTGCTGGGATTACAGGCCTGAGCCACTGTGCCTGGCCAACACTGTTCTGAATCATACTAATTAAACCTGAGAAAGCTGATGAAAAATTTTAAAAATTTGTGAAAGTAATACAAAGTCATTGCCTGCTTTTTCATTGACACTTGCCATGATTATATAAAAGCAAAAGTGGGTACAATGGCTGGTTTCTCAGCATAAATCAAGGCAGTGGTACCAATTACATTAGTAGTCATTCTATTCTTCACTGTCCCCTACAGGTAAAAAACATAGCCTGAATTTCGTAAGAACGTCTTTGATGAAGCAGTAAAAATTAATGTTGTTAAATCTTGACATGTCTCTAATATTCTGAATAAGTGGAAAGTTAACCAGAAGCGCTTTTTTTTTTGTTTTTAAAGAATCCGTGATTTAACTGTGAACTGAAAAATCACTTTTTTCACAGAACATCATTTTTATTTAAAAGTACAACTGGGCCAGCGCAGTGGCTCACGCCTGTAAAATCCCAGCACTTTGAGAGGCCAAAGCAGGCAGATGGCTTGAGCTCCTTCGGGAGTTCGAGACCAGCCTAGGCAACATAACGAAACCCTGTCACTGTCAAACATATAAGAAAATTAGCCTGGCATGGTGCCACACATCTGTGGTCCCAGCTACAAAGGAGCCTGAGGTGAGAGGATTGCTTGAGCTGAGATCATGCCAATGCACTCCAGCCAAGTGACAGAGTGAAACTCGGTCTAAAAAACCAGTTCAACTATCATTCTCAAAAATAAATGAAGTGAGAGGTTGTCACTTCAAGGGAAATACGTATTTGTTCCCAATGATAAAATTTAAGCTTTCCTCTGGACTTTGAAAAACTTGTTCCTTCTACTGTAGGCTTGGCAGCTTTTCAATACTTAAAGGCGTGTTAAAGTAAGATTGGTGGTTCAACTAAAAGTGATTTTTGACACAATAAAACATAAACCAATATATTCCAAGTAACTAATGCATGATATTATAAATACAAGTATGGAGCAAAAGATCCATTTACTGTGCAAGAAAGATCAATGAGTACTGATGGAATAAATTTATTAATATGTAAAATGCCACCGTAACTAATTTAAGAAACCACCACTTGTGAAGTTTTGATTTAGTGTTAACAAATACCCACAACTGTCTGAAAACTTTAAAAATACACCTTCTACCAACTACATATTTGCATGAGGTTAGGTCATCTTATTGCTTCTTTTTTCTTTTTTTGAGACAGAGTCTCTCTCTGTCACCCAGGCTGGGGTGCAATGGCGAGATCTCGGCTCACTGCAACCTCCACCTCCCAGGCTCAAGCGATTCTCCTGCCTCAGCCTCCCAAGTAACTGGGACTACAGGCATGCACCACCACGCCCAGCCATTTTTTGTACTTTCAGTAGAGGCGGGTTTTACCATGTTGGTCGGGCTGGTCTCAAACTCCTGACCTCAAGTGATCCACCCACCTCGGCCTCCCAAAATGCTGGGATTACAGATGTGAACCACTGCGCCCCACCAGCTTATTGCTTTTTTTGTTTGTTTGTTTAGACAGAGTCTTGCTCTGTCACCCAGGCTGCAGTGCAATGGCACCATCTCAGCTCTCTGCAACCTCCGCCTCCCAAGTTCAAGCGGTTCTCCTGCCTCAGCCTCCAGAATAGGTGGGACTACAGGTGCGTGCCACCACGCCCAGCTAAGTTTTTGTATTTTTAGTAGAGACGGGGTTTTGCCGTGTTAGCCAGGATGGTCTCGATCTCCTGACCTTGTGATCCGCCTGCCTCAGCCTCCCAAAGTGCTGGGATTACAGGCGTGAGCCACCGTGCCCAGCCTCTTATTGCTTCTTTAAAGCAAATTGCAAAGAAAGCTCTAGAGAATCCATTTGTCTCCTATTAAGCTCAACATGAGAGACTTCAAATAATATAAATACATGACGCACTTTTTACTCAACTTTTTGTTGTAGAAAAGTTATTTTTCAATGAAAAATTTCTGTTAACAATACTGTTCTCAAGGAATATTTTCTGTTGTTATAACCTGGGTCATGGGTTACTACTGACATCTAGTTGGTAGAGGCCATGAATACCGCTAAACTCTCTGCAATGCACAAGACAGTCCTCACAACAAAGCATTATCTAGCCCATAATATCAACAGTGGTAAGGCTGTGAAATCTAAACTAAAAACAGATTTTGAAAAAATTTCAACTGTATAATTCTACCACACTAAATATCAATATAATCAATATAAACACATACTCTTTGAGATTCTCAGTCATTTAAGAATTATGAGAGTCTTAAGGAACAAAGAAAATACAAATAATTTGCTTCGATATTTTAGTAGGCACAATACAGCTTATGATGTCTAGAGCTGTGACCTAACACTGAGCTTGATATCTTGCAAAGTAATTAGCTAGAATAACAAGACAGGTTTCTAAAAAGCTCACCTTTGTGTGATATGATGAGGTATCTCCAAGGTCACACTGTGGAAGGAAAAAAAATTCATAACAATAGATGTTATCATTTGTTAGGCCTGAAGACATTTTTTAAAAGGGGGGCAGAGGAAACTCTCCTAGCGGCCCTGAAATTCAAATCTTCTAGTTCAGAACAGTACCATAAGGGCACTTTGTTTTCATTTCTTTGTTTTTTACAAAAATATGAGAACCAAAATGCAAGGAAATATGCCGTTAGAAGACGCGTTTCTGTTGGTGATTACAATATATAAATAATAACAGATTTCCCTGTTATATGCTTTTCTACCCATGAAACCTTTCGTCCCATGCGATTTATTTTATGTATTTATTTATTTTTTGACCCAGAGTCTGTCTCTCTTGCTCAGACTGGACTGCAGTGGTGCCATCTTGACTCCTCACAACCTCCACCACCCAGGTTCAAGCGATTCTCATGCCTCAGCCTCCCAAGAAGCTGGGACTACAAGTTTGCGCCACTATGCTCAGATAATTTTTTTTTGGGGGGGTGGGGTGGGTGGAGTTTCGCTCTTGTTGCCCAGGCTGGAGTGCAATGGTGTGATCTCGGCTCACCACAACCTCTGCCTCCCGGGTTCAAGAGATTCTCCTGCCTCAGCCTCCCAAGTGGCTGGGATTACAGGCATGTGCCACCACGCCCAGCTAATTTTGTAGAGTGAGTCTCAAAACAACTGAGGGAAGGCAAATCTCAATTCTACTAATAGGTCTACACAATATTAGCACTTTTTAAAAAGCCTGTAATATTAGCATGTGAGATGGATATGTCTATAGTGCTTCAAGTAGTTTTCATCTCTGAAATAATTTTAAAATCACAGAATTTAAAGTTACATGCTGGAAAGGACCAATGACCTTATGTGACATTTAATTCAACACTCGTTTTACAGATCAGGGAAACAGACCTTAAAACTGACTTGCCCAAGGTCCCACCAAATAGGAGCAGTTTCTCGTCCTAAACTCAAATTAAGCAGTGGCTCTCAAACTTTGCTGCACATTAAAATCGCCTGAGAAGCTTTAATATCTGCCTCATCTTCAACATGAGACATTTTAATTTAATTAGTATTGGGTATGGCTTTGGGCATCAAGGTTCTTGGTAAACGTTTCCCAGGTGATTTCAATCAGCAGCAAAGTTTGGAATGACTGAGCTGGGGTGAAAATCAGAATCTTCTGGGATGCTTTTCTTCACAGAAAGATGCCTCACATCCATCCCGATTTTCCTAAAAGGCTTCTCAGTGCCTAGAGACAGAGGGAAAGTGGAGATGGGAAGATACATGTGTTTGCAGACTTGTATTTTGAAAAAAACCTTGCATAAGTGATCTCAGCGAGTTCCACCTATCCCACTGACAACAGTGCACTACTGATTCATGATAAAACATTTTTCAAAATATCTTCTTGAAGCCAATTTGCCCTATTAATTTGTTCAATAACTTTATTTCACCAATAGTGAATACACCAAATGATCATTTCTCAAACTTGCTGGTGGCAAATTAAAACTTACTATACTCTCAAAAGTAGACTTCTAAAAAGTAGAATAATGAGGAAAAAAGCACGAAATTTGTTTCAGCAAAATTAATCTTCAAAGCTGCTTTTGAATTATATGCTAACATATCAAAATCTTTGGAACTCAGAAGAAGCCAGGGACTCTAGTCAAAGTAATTTTTGTGTATGTGTGCTCAAAGATTTAAGAGACTTAGCTGACTACAGACATTTAGTGATTACTCAATAGGTCCCAAAGCTCAGGACTTGAGACAGAGTTTGAGTCCAGTTTTTGTTCGAAACACAATTTCCTCTCAACTATTGTTAAAAGGGAGGGAGGAAAGTGACATTATTATGAGTGTAAACTTTCCACTTTTAATTGAAGTAAAAGTTATTGACAATTGAATTAGTTAAAAAGGCTAGTGCATTTGAAACAAAATTGTTTATAAGCTAGTTATGTGTACAGAATGAAAAGTTAAATTAAAGATAAAGACATTAATATTCTAAATTAGCACTTTCCAAACTGTGTTCTAAAAATCAAGACTAATAACCCAAGAAGATGAGAATAATGTACACTGGACAGCCCCTGTGGAGCTGGTGGTGGTGTTGGTTGTTGTTCCTTTTAAAATAAACTTCATCTCAGGGTGCTCTCAAAGCGCATCTTTGTGGCCCATGAGGTGCTCATGCACAATGGGAGAAATTCAAATGCAGATACACTGTGGTGCCAGAAGAAGAAAAGCTGTTCCTTCTTCCAAGGATAATGTCCAAAGTAGTGCACACTGATTTAGGCCTATGATGCATTGAAAAACTAAGTTTCCACAAAAAACATTCAATAAAGGGAACCTATCCTTCTCACTGTGTTCAACATTGTCTAAAGGCATAAAGGCATCAAAAAGATACACTGTTTCTGGGATTGCTTCTTTGCTAACTGATTTTTCCTTCCACCACGACGTCTAAGATTAAAAGAGAAACTGATACTTAATATTCAGAATCTGGATATCAATATATGGTTGACTCCAATTTCTTAAACTGATTGCTGAAAAGGACAACCAAATGACTGAAATAATTTTAGAATAAAGGAATCTGTCCCTCGGCAGCATAGTTGTACTCACGATATTATTGTCATTGTAAGATAATGCTGGATGGCTGTGCTGTCATCAAGGAATATTGTCGAACACAAGCTGTATTGTTGACTGAAACGCACAGCAGATACCTGAAGGGGAAGGGAACTGTAAGTCAAACTTATCAAAGTGTATTATTTTCTCAGTTAAAATGTCAAATGACAAAGCACTAAGATATGTCTTACACTCCATGAACTGCCTGAGTGTGGTATCATGTGCACTCTATAGAAAACCCATTGGAGGCTCTCAACTTCCAGAGATGATGTTTAAGATATGGGTTATAAAATGCTGCCCTTAATATGGTACCTGTCATCAAACCTAACAAGGATTTTATGAATTACCGTTAAAAATAATGGGAAAAGTCGGCTTCGCGGGGCGCGGTGGCTCACACCTGTAATCCTAGCACTTTGGGAGGTGGAGGCGGGCGGATCACGAGGTCAAGAGATCGAGACCATCCTGGCTAACATGGTGAAACCCCGTCTCTACTAAAAATACAAAAAATTAGCCGGGCGTGGTAGCAGGCCCCTGTAGTCCCAGCTACTTGAGAGGCTGAAACAGGAGAATGGGGTGAACCCAGGAGGCGGAGCTTGCAGTGAGCCGAGTTCGCGCCACTGCACTCCAGGCCGGCAGACAAAGTGAGACTCCGTCTCAAAAAAAAAAAAAAAAGAAAAGTTTAAAATAAGATTTCATTTTTTTTCTGCAGCAATAAAAAGCAGCTGAGAATTTCTATTAATTAATTAATTAATTTATTTATTTTTGAGACGGAGTCTCGCTCTGTCGCCCAGGCTGGAGTGCAGTGGTGCAATCTCGGCTCACTGCAAGCTCCGCCTCCCGGGTTCACGCCATTCTCCTGACTCAGCCTCCTGAGTAGCTGGGACTACAGGCGCCCACCACCATGCCCGGCTAACTTTTTGTATTTTTAGTAGAGACGGGGTTTCACCGTGTTAGCCAGGATGGTCTCGATCTCCTCACCTCGCGATCTGCCTGCCTCAGCCTCCCAAAGTACTGGGATTACAGGCGTAAGCCACGGCGCCCAGCCCTTCTATTATTTATTTACTACGATAAAATGTAATGTATTAAATAATCCTGCTACAAGAGCATTTTATTGCAGTGAATACAAGACTAATGCATTTACTAAATTACTAATCCTAAATGTATTATTTCAGGTGATATTGTTACAAAAGAAGTGTTTCAGATTCAGAGGCTCTGTGTGCCAGGGCTGCTAGGCCACCAACAAGTGAGGAAGCCATAGGTTTCTCTAGTCCTATTTTCTTATGTGGAGGATAAAAAGAGTATCACTTAAATATTCTCTCACACCCTGAAAACAAATGACAACTTAAAAAATCTAACTTTCACTTCATGTTTAAATAAGACTGCCAAGACATGACTCAAATGAGACTCTCGGAGAATACTTTGCATTCACTTCAAAACTTGATCAATTGCATTCTATAAATCATCTGACCTGCACCTAGCCATTTTCCTGCTCTACCCCTGCTCTCTGCCTAGAATACTGCTTTTCTCTTTCCTTGCTTCAGCAAGCTCGACTCCATCTACCCTCTTGGATCTCTTTGTCGGCAGCCACACCAAAAAATGTATTTTTATACACTAATTAGTTGAATTCACCACTGCTTACAAGATGCTAATTCCTGCAGAGTATTCCCCTTGTGAGAAAGTATGCCTCTCCATAAGAGTAAGGGAGGGCCCTTACTCTTCCTACCTCCAGCTGCTGAGCATAGAATTTTGAGTAAATCCAAAACTTCGACAAGTGTTTGACAATTCAGTTATCATTTGGAAGGTAAGTCTTACTACATTTAATTACAGCAAAAACACTACTAACAGTTTACTCTTTATAGGTATTATTTAAGGTAGTCACAAAATAGAAACAAATACTCTAACGTCAGGCAGCATAAATGAGAGTATGAAATTTTACAATATTTAACAAGAAATGGAAGGGGTTACTTAGTAGTTTTAAGGTTTAATGACAAAAACTAGAAAATAATCGTACCTAGTAATTTAGTAAGTCAAAACCAAAGCCTTACCATCAAAGGTGCAGTACCCATTGGATGCGGATGCCCACGCACTGACTTCTTCTGCTGTACCTGCTGCCTCTCATTTTAACCCATTAAAAATACTAAAGTTGTTTTCCTTGTAGACATCCTTCACCTCCTTGGTTAGGTCTATTCCGAAGTATTTTATTTTAGTTTAGTTTATTTTTGCAGCTATCAGAAAAGGGGTTGAGTTCTTGGTTTGATTCTAAGCTTGGTCGCTTCTGGGGTATAACAGAGCTACTGATTTGTGTACATTAATTTTGTCTCCTGAAACTTTGCTGAATTCATTTATCGGTTCTAGGAGCTTTTTGGAGGAGTCTTTAGGGTTTCCTAGGTATATGATCATATCATCATCAAACAGCAACAGTTTGACTTCCTCTTTACTGATCTGCATGCCTTTTATTGTTTTCTCTTGTGTGATTGCTCTGGCTAGGCCTTCCAGTAGTATGTTGAATACAAGTGGTGAGAGTGGGCATCCTTGTCTTGTTCCAGTTCTCGGGGGGAATGCTTTCAACTTTTCCCCCTTTCAGTATTATGTTGGTTGTGGGTTTGTCATAGATGGCTTTTCTTATATTGAGCTGTGACCCTTCTATGCTGATTTTGCTGAGGGTTTTAATCATAAAAGGATGCTGCATTTTGTCAAATGCTTTTTCTGCATCTGTTTAGATGATCATGTGATTTTTTGTTTTTAATTCTGTTTATGTGGTGTATCACATTTATTGACTTGTGTATGTTAATCCATCCCTGCATCCCTGGTATGAAACCCATTTGATCATGGTGGATTATCTTTTTTTTTTTTTGAGATGGAGTCTCGCTCTGTTGCCCAGGCTGGAGTATGCAGTGCGGTGATCTTGGCTCACTGCAACCTCTGCCTCCGAGGTTCAAGCGATTCTCCTGCCTCAGCCACCTGAGTAGATGGGATTACAGGTGAGCGCCACCACACCCGGCTAACTTTTGTATTTTTAGTAGAGATGGGATTTCACCATGTTGGCCAGGCTGGTCTCGAACTCCTGACCTCATGATCCGTCTCCCGCTCCTGACCTCATGATCCGTCTCCCTCAGCCTCCCAAAGTGCTGGGATTACAGGTGTGAGCCACCGTGCCTGGCCGGATTATTTTTTGATATGCCGTTGGGAACTACAAAACGTTGCTGAATGAAGTCATGGACACAAACAAATGGAAAGACACCCCATGCTCATGAATGGGTAGAATGAATATTGTGAAAATGACCATACTGCCAAAAGCAATCTACAAATTCAATGCAACTCCCATCAAAATAACACCATCCTTCTTCACAGAACTAGAAAAAACAATCCTGAAATTTATATGGACCAAACAAGAACCGGCATAGCCAAAACAAAACTAAGAAAAAACAACAAATCTGGAGGCATGACATTACCTGATTTCAAACTATACTATAAGGCCATAGTCGCCAAAATAGCATGGTACTGATATAAAAATAGGCACATACACCAATGGAACAGAATAGAGAACCCAGAAATAAACTCAAATACCTATAGCCAACTGATTTTCAACAAAGCCACCTAAAACATAAAGTGAAGAAAGTAAACCCTATTCAACAAATGGTGCTGGGATAATTGGCAAACCACATGCGGGAGAATGAAACTGGATCCTCAACTCTCACCTTACACAAAAATCAACTCAAGATGGATCAAGGACATAAATCTATGACCTGAAACCATAAAAGTTCTAGAAGATAACATTGGAAAAACCCGTCTAGACGCTGGCTTAGGCAAAGACTTCATGACCAAGAACACAAAAGCAAATGCAACAGAAACAAATAGGTGAGACTTAACTAAAGAGCTTCTGCACAGGAAAAGGAACAATCAGCAGAGTATACAGACAACCACAGAGTGGGAGGAAATCTTCACAGTCTATACATCTGACAAAGGGCTATTATCCAGAATCTATGAGGAACTCAAACAAATTACAATTACAAAAATATGGAACCAGCCCAAATGCCCATCAATCAATGAGTGGATAAAGAAACCGTGATATACATACATATATATATATATATATATATATGAGGAATTCCACCTCAGCCATAATAAGGAATAAATTCATGGCATTCCCAGCAACCTGGATGGAAGTAAGACTATTATTCTAAGTGAAATAACTCAGCATGGAAAACCAAATATCATGTTCTCTTTCATACGTGGGAGCTGAGCTATGAGGATGCAAAGCCATAAGAATGATACAATGGACTTTGGGGACTTGGGGGAAAGGCTGGGAGGAGGGTGAGGGATAAAAGACTACAAATTGGGTTCAGCGGATACTGCTCAGGTGATGGGTGCACCTAAATCTCACAAATCATCACTAAAGAACTTAGGCATGTCACCAAATGCCACCTGTTCCCCCAGAAACCTATGGAAATAATAAATAAATAAATAAAAGTACAGCATTTTTCTCAGCAAACATAAAATAAAACAAAGACTAAAGTTCATATTTTTCACTCTCCTTTTGGGCAGGACAAATTTTAGATAGGTTTTTAAAGAATTAGTAACTTTTTTCCTTTTTCCGAGACAGGGTCTCCCTTTGTTGCCCAGGCTGGAGTGCAGTGGTGCAATTATAGTTAACTGCAGCCTCAAACTCCTGAGCTCAAGTGATCCTCTGCCTCAGCCTCCTGAGTAGGTAATACGAAAGGCGCATGCCACCAGGCCTGGCTAATTTGTTATTTAACCTTTTTGTAGACATGAGCTCTTGCTATGTTGACCAGGCTAAAAATGAACAAATCTTATTTAACTTAAATATTTCTAACACTTTGGGCATTCAGGAAAACAGCTCCATCTATGTTGTGAAGTAATGGGAAGTATATGGCAGTGGATAAACTTTGAATGAAAATATTAAACAAGGCCTTAGGAGAAAAGTGTAATATGCTTATTATAGATACATTAATTTAAAAAATTCTCTGGCTTAATATCATTAATTATACTCAAATTAGACTTTGATTTAAACACAGGTCCTAAATTTGGATTAAATATAATAGATTGACCACAAATTTATTTCGTCTCCCTCCGGAAGCCTCATCAGTCATAAAATAAAGGTTACACCCATGACCAGCACAGAAGGTTGACAGAGATAATTTTTAATAAATGCTGAGACATAAAAAGTAGATAAAGGAGTGGTAAATAACACAGAAACACAACTTTGGTGCCTACAGAAAGTGACTGGAACACAAGTGAGCCAGTTTGTCTTGCAGAACTAAAGGCAGGTTGTGAACTTACAGGCCAATGGCACTTTGGAAAGTAGGGTAAAATGTGAAAAAAAAAAAAAAAAGCCAGCAAGGTCAGTTGCAAATCTCTAACTAGAGCCCCAAGTCCACCTGTCCTTCCATCTGACAAGAAACTTAGATGTGTGTTCTCTGGATATATCAAACCTGAGAATTTCTGGCTCAGAGATACCATGGCTTAAACCTGAGATATAAAGAAAACTGTACACCAAAAATGGAACTCCAACTTTCTTCGCTAACTCTGCTTTTCCTTTCCAGGCCTGCTTTTACTTTCCAGGCAGAAAATTGGGAGATCCTTCTCAGAAGAAACTGAAATGTCTTCAATAAAGATCCCCAGATAATACACTGAGGTCTCCCAAATGAAAAGCTAGTCAGGCTTCTAAGGCCTCACACTGATGCTATCAGTTAACAGAAATCCTGCTTCCAAATAAAGCAGGCCAGGGACCACCACACATTGGAAGGAAGCCTCCAAGAAAAGAGATCAAAACAATAGAAAAAAGGAATTGATAGGACCAGTCAAAATCAGGAGCAAAACTTTAAAAAAAAATCTTAAAACACTCCAAAAATTACAAAATTCAATAGAAATAGTAGAGGATAAAGTCACAGAATATCCCAGAACTAGAATAAAAAGACAAACTGAAAAAAATAGAAGGGGAAAAATTAAAAATCAATGCAGGCATACTGGTCTAAGCAGCCTAGCATCTGAATAACAAGACTATCAGTAAAAAAGTAACAGAGAAAATAAAAAAAAATTCTCAAGAAGAGATAGTCTGCAGGTTTAGTAGCCTCAATAAAATGAAAAGATCCCCAACAAGCTGTTATAAAATTTCAGAACCTTAGAGAGAGAGATTCTAAAAAGCTTCCGCAGATAACTAAAACCTGGTTGTAAATAACGTATCACACACTGGCAATAGATTCAAGAACAACACTGTAATAAGAGCACAGCTGCAAAATGTCTTCAGAACCATAAAATTTAGATTCAACCTAGAGGTGTACTCTCTATCAAAGAGGAGGGATTTTAACATCTCCACCCAGGAAAATGTGTTCAACTACAACTAGAGATGATAACAGGACAGAAGGAAACACAGAATCTAGGACTCAGGCGATCCCACACAAGACAGCAGTTACGTGAGATCCCAAAAGACTTTAAGGAGTTAGCCCAGAAAAGCAGACATCGAGCATATCTAGGGAAACCCACGCTATATTGAACTAGGATGACAAAAGGCCAAAGAAAGTTGCCCCACACACACACATAAAAAGAAACAGATGTGCTTTTGCAGATGGAAAATATCTTTGAAAGGCATGTGATAAATGCTACAATACTTGGGGGAAAAACAGCTGTTAGAAAATAGGCAAATGAATATAGTCAGAAAATTAGCTTCATGCTAAAAAATAATGGATGTGAAAGCAAACAGAGCACCCAGAGGCTACTTAACAATATTTGGATAGATAAACTAACGTAGGCTAGGAAAAAAGAAGATCCAGGAGAATTGCAGAAGTGCTCAGATTTCAGAACTGTTTCAGAGACAGGATGAAGGACATGGAATGCAGAGACACAGTGAAAACACCATATGACTTAGCAGTGAATAATATTTGCAGAGTCATAATCATGTAAATATTACTGATTTAATTAAAAAGTGTGCTACAATTGGAAGAAACACAGGGAGAAACATAAGATCATGGTGTAGCGGGGAAGGTATGCTTTTACCTGCTGTGATAGAAAGTCAATAGACAGTGCTGGCAATTAACTTAACTATTCTATTTTTGTTCTTTCATTAAAAATAAGATTAAATATTTCAGGCACTTTTTTTTTTTTTTTTTTTTTTGAGACAGAGTTTCGCTCTGTTGCCCAGGCTGGAGTGCAATGGCGCGATCTTGGCTCACTGCAACCTCCGCCTCCTGGGTTCAAGTGATTCTCCTGCCTCAGCCTCCTGAGTAGCTGAGATTACAGGCATGCACCACCACGCCCGGCTACTTTTGTATTTTTAGTAGATACAGAATTTCACCATGTTGGTCAGGGTTGTCTCAAACTCCTGACCTCAGATGATCAGCCTGCCTCGGCCTCCTAAAGTGTTGTGATTACAGACGTTAGCCACCATGCCCAGCCGTAAGGCAGATCTTTTGAACCAGACTATTGAAATTTAACTTAAATGTCAGAAATCTTTAAAAGGTGGACACGCTAAACTAAACACTTTTCTGGATAAATTTAATACTCAGGAAAATAGAAGAGATTTAGAAAATCCACAAAAAGAGGTCCATGCTACCACCACCAGGTCCACATTGTAATTTAAAGAAATCAAGAGAGACATCCTTTTATGTCAAACTATCAATTTCTTAAGTATTTGAGTGTTTACTTACATGGTTTGTACAGTTGCTTCTTCTTATTTCTACAACTAAGAATAAAAAAAAAAAACTGGTCACTTCTGATACAAATACCATAAAATAAAAGTAGTTGTTAACATCTTACTGATTACTCCTACGTAAAATGAGACAAAATTCCATTTAAAAAATAATTTTCAATAATTTATAATTTAAATTATCTGGCATGATTAATTTCATAAGTCAAATCTAAAAACTTAGCTTTTCATTTAGTTTACTTTTTGTTTCTATTACATACAAATGAAAGAATCCTCATGTACAAAAGAAAAGGGTAAAAAAATTAGGCCAGATGAAAAATTTAGCTAATAAAAAGTTTAACTGTTGCATATATGAGCCATGATCCATTAGTATTCTCTCATTCTGCATTTATACATAGCTTACTTTAATTATCAGACTCTAAGAGCTAACAGCTCTAAGAACTACTTCCTGACCAGACACCTATCTCTAGATGCAACAGAATCCCTGTAAGCATCTTGAACCACACTTAGTGGTTATCTACTAATATGTCACTAAAAACAAATCAAAATTAAAAAACGGTCTTTACACAACTGGAAAGTAACATATCTTAATTTTTTTTTTTTTTTTTTTTGAGATGGAGTCTCACTCTGTCACCTAGGCTCGAGTGCAGTGGCGGGATCTCAGCTCACTGCAACCTCTGCCTCCCAGGTTCAACCAATTCTTCAGCCTTAGCCTCCTGATTAGCTGGGAGTACAGGCACATGCCACCATGCCTAGCTAATTGTTTTTTGTATTTTTAGTAGAGACAGAGTTACACTGTGTTAGCCAGGATGGTCTTGATCTCCTAACCTCGTGATCCACCCACCTCAGTCTCCCAAAGAGCTGGGATTACAGGTGTAAGCCACAGAGCCTGGCCTAAATTTTGATGTTTAAAATGAGTATACAAACCTAATTGGACATGGTGTCTGCAGCACAAAAAATCATTTTTTTTTCCTCTAAAAAGAGGCCAGAATAATAAAAGCCCCAAGAGGGACTTGGGCCATGCTTTGCTTCCTACACTGCCTCTGCCTTTGATGCTGGAAGGGCCTTGTAGGCAAAAGCTCCTACCACTGAAGAGTGAGGGACATGGAATAGCTTTTCTTTTACTGCTTCCATGCTCTCTAGGTGTGAGAAGCCCATGCCTCTGGAAGGAACTGGGAAATACAATTCTGATATGTTTTGGATATGTTGCCCCTCCAAGTCTCATGTTAACATGTGACCCTTAATGTTGGAGATAGGGCCTAGTGGGAGGTGTTTGGGTAATGGCAGTGGATTCCTTATGAATGGCTTGGTCCCATCCCCATGGTAATAAGCACATTCTCATTATGGTAATTTAAAAGACTGTGGTACTGGCCAGGTGCGGTGGCTGAAGCCTGTAATCCCAGCACTTTGGGAGGCTGAAGCGGGTAGATCACTTGAGGTCAGGAGTTTCAGACCAGCCTGGCCAACATGGTGAAACCCTGTCTCTACCAAAAATACAGAAATTAGCCAGGTGTTATGGTGCCCACCTATAGTCCCAACTACTCGGGAGGCTGAGGCAGGAGAATTGCTTGAACCTGGGAGATGGAGGTTGTAGTGAGCCAAGATCGTGCCATTGCACTCCAGCCTGGGCAACAGAGTGAGACTCCATATCAAAACAAAAAAAAAAAAGTGTGGTACCTTCCCCCTTCCCCTCTCTCCTCCCTCTTTCACCGTGTGGAACCACCTGCTTCCCCTTTGCCTTTTATCATGATTATAAGTTTGCTGAGGCCCTCACCAGAAGCAGATGTTAAAGCCATGTTTGTACAGCCTGAAAATCTTTGAGCCAGTTAAACATCTTTTTGTTATAAATTACCCAGCCTTAAGTATCTCTTTACAGTAATGTAAAAAATGAAGACAAATTCTAACCAGAAATAACTGACTCAAGATGGGCAAAGTCTACTCAAACTATAAAAACAAAGGTTGCAAACTCCCGTGTTTTACTGTGCTGCATTACTTCGCACATTATTATAGAACCCTCACTTGTATTCTTGCTGTTTAAGTCAACCGGAAAACTTGGCTGTGTATGGCTTGTTGGCAAATAAATGAGGATTTAACATAACATTGAGGGAAATAAGCAGGAGTAGGGCATGTTTAAATTTACATTACATCAAATGAAAAAGTTAATAACCTAAAACTTTTGAGTAGCATGAACTTGGATGTGGTAAATGAATGTGGTCAGAGGACTGTGTAAGAGGAGGCCCAAATCACAGATTCAATCCCTGATGATAAACAACTATGTTTTTTAATTTGTTTAAATGAAAACCAAGCTGAAGCCTAAGTTCTATCATTCATCTTTAAAGTGTACTTTTTGGAGCAAGGGAAAAGGGATTATAAATAAAGATAAATCCATTAATTATAAATAAAGATAAATCCAAGAATTATAAAGAGAAATCCATGACTCCTCCATCACATGACAAATTAATTGTGTTGATAAAAAGATGGCAAAATGTATAAACAAAAAGGTTACACGTTTTCACTAACATCATAACAACTAAAGGAAAGTATATCACATATTAAAATAAGACAAGTGAACATGTGAAAAGGTGAAAAATTTAAACCAATATGAGTTTTTCTAAATACTTTCTATAACCTGATCAAACAAGAGCTTTTATTCTTTCTCTTGGTGGAAAAGACAATGTCGTCTCACCATCTGTTTGAGAGTTCCTCTGGAATATTGTGCTTGCCTCTGGATTGGCAGAAGGGTTAAACTCCAAAGCTATATGCACAGAGGAAGAAAAGAAAAAAAGATGTAATCATTGATAAAAATTTATCAACTCGTTTATTCGACTGCTGCATTTAGGCTATTTCACT